>NC_000002.12:20085512-20237028 GCF_000001405.40 Homo sapiens
TACCTCCCTCCACAACCCCTCCACAACCCATTATTCTGTTCTGGATCTCAAACATGCTTTCTTTACTATTCCTTTGCACCCTTTATCCCAGCCTCTCTTTGCTTTCACTTGGACTGACCCTGACATCCATCAGGCTCAGCAAATTACCTGGGCTGTACTGCTGCAAGGCTTCACGGACAGCCCGCATTACTTCAGTCAAGCCCAAATTTCTTCCTCATCCATTACCTATCTTGGCATAATTCTTCATAAAAACACACGTGCTCTCCCTGCCGATTGTGTCCGACTGATCTCTCAAACCCCCAACCCCTTCTACAAAACAACTCCTTTCCTTCCTGGGCATGATTGGATACTTTTGTCTTTGGATACCTGGTTTTGTCATCCTAAAAAAACCATTCTATAAACTCACAAAAGGAAACCTAGCTGACCCCATAGATCCTAAATCCTTTCCCCACTCCTCTTTCCATTCCTTGAAGACAGCTTTAGAGACTGCTCGCACACTAGCTCTCCCTGACTCATCCCAACCCTTTTTTCATTACACATAGCCAAAGTGCAGGGCTGTGCGGTCAAAATTCTTACACAAGGACTGGGACCACGCCCTGTGGCCTTTTTATCCAAACAACTTGACCTTACTGTTTTAGCCTAGCCCTCATGTCTGCGTGCAGTGGCTGCCACTGCCTTAATACTTTTAGGGGCCCTCAAAATCACAAACTGTGCTCAACTCACTCTCTACAGTTCTCATAACTTCCAAAAGCTATTTTCTTCCTCACACCTGATGCATATACTTTCTGCCCCCCTCCACTACTTCTCAGCAAGCCAAACTCATTGACTTGAGCCCTCACTCTTGCAAAAGGACCATGTGTCAATATTTATACTGACTCCAAATATGCCTTCCATATCCTGCACCACCATGCTGTTATATGGTCAAAAGAGTTTTCCTCATTACGCAAGGGTCCTCCATCATTAATTCCTCTTTAGTAAAAACTCTTCTCAAGGCTGTTTTACTTCCAAAGGAAGCTGGAGTCATTCACTGCAAGGGCCATCAAAAGGCGTCAGATCCCATCGCTCAGGGCAACACTTATGCTGATAAGGTAGCTAAAGAAGCAGCTAGCATTCCAACTTCTGTCCCTTACTACCAGTTTTTCTCCTTCTCATCAGTCATTCCCACCTACTCCCCCACTGAAACTGCCACCTATCAATCTCTTCCCACATAAGGCAAATGGTTCTTAGACCAAAGAAAACATCTCCTTCCAGCCTCACAGGCCCATTCTATTCTGTCATCATTTCATAGCTTCTTCCATGTAGGTTACAAGCCACTAGCCCATCTCTTAGACCCTCTCATTTCCTTTCCATTGTGGAAATCTGTCCTCAAGGAAATCACTTCTCAGGGTTCCATCTGCTATTCTACTATTCCTCAGGGATTGTTCAGGCCCCCTCCCTTCCCTACCCTTGCCCAGAACTGGCAAATTGACTTTATTCATATGCCCCAAGTCAAGAAACTAAAATACCTCTTGGTCTGTGTAGACACTTTCATTGGATGAATAGAGGCCTTTCCCACAGGGTCTGAGAAGGCCACCGCCATCATTTCTTCCCTTCTGTCAGACATAATTCCTCAGTTTGGCCTTCCCACCTCTATACAGTCCAATAACAGACTGGCCTTTACTAGTCAAATCACCCAAGCAGTTTCTCAGGCTCTTGGTAGTCAGTGGAACCTTCATACCCCTTTCTGTCCTCAATCTTCAGGAAAGGTAAAATGGACTAATGGTCTTTTCCCAAAAACTCGCCAACCAAGCAAGTAATTACACTGAACCCCCTTGGGCACTCTTTAATTGGATGTCCTAGGTCCTCCCAACTCTTAGTCCTTTAATACCTATTTTTCTCCTTCTTTTATTTGGACCCTGTAGCTTCCGTTTAGTTTCTCAATTCATCCAAAACCGCATCCAGGCCATCACCAATCATTCTATATGACAAACGCTCCTTCTAACAACCCCACAATATCACCCCTTACCACAAAATCTTCCTTCAACTTAATCTCTCCCACTCTAGGTTCCCACGCTGCCCCTAATCCCGCCCTGAGAAATATCGCCCATTATCTCTCCATACCACCTCCAAGGATTTTTGCTGCCCCAACACTTCAATACTATTTTATGTTATTTTTCTTATTAATATAAGAAGGCAGGAATGTCAGGCCTCTGAGCCCAAGCTAAGCCATCATATCCCCTGTGACCTGCACGTATATGTCCAGATGGCCCGAAGCAAGTGAAGAATCACAAAAGAAGTGAAAATGGCCAGTTCCTGCCTTAACTGATGATATTCCCCCATTGTGATTTGTTCCTGCCCCACCTTAACTGAGCAATTAAACTTGTGAGATTCCTTCTCCTGGCTCAAAACCTCCCCCACTGAGCACCCTGTGACCCCCACCCCTGCCTGTAAGAGAAAAACCCCCTTTGACTGTAATTTTCCACTACCCACCCAAATCCTATAAAACAGCCCCACCCCTATCTCCCTTCACTAACTCTCTTTTCGGACTCAGCCTGCCTGCACCCAGGTGATTAAAAAGCTTTATTGCTCGCACAAAGCCTGTTTGGTGGTCTCTTCACACGGACGCACATGAAACCGGGTTCAAGCAATTATCCTGCCTCAGCCTCCCCAGTAGCTGGGATTACAGGCACCCGCCATCATGCCCAATTAATCTTTGTATTTTTGTAGAGACAAGCTTTCACCATGTTGGCAGAGCTATTCTTGAACTACTGACCTCAGGTGATTTGCCCGCCTTGGCCTCACAAAGTGCTGGGATTACACGCGTGAGCCACTGCGCCTGGCCTAACTTCTTTTCTTTATAAATTACCCAGTCTGTGGTATTCTGTCACAGCAAAAGAAAACAGACTAAGACAGAGTCCCTTGATGTAATCATCAGGGGGTCCTTGGCACAGAGCAGGGCATAGAATAGATCTGGGCAGAGAGGCAAATAGAAAATACTCAACACAGTGCACGTACAGATTTCCATTCCCTCCTCATTCCATCCTTAGCTGTTTGGATTAATCATGTTCCTACGTCTTTCCTCTAGGACCTACAATGGCTCCCACTGTCTTCAGCACCAAGGTTAATCATTTTCGCATCTGAGGAGTCTTAGCCTTTCCCCTGTAATCTCCTGGAATGCATCTACTTTTCTAAGTGGACAGGACTCCTAGACAAACAACTAATTCATTGTGGTTCAATCCAGCCTCACAGCTTTTGCCTATGCTATTCCCTTGGACAGTCATGGAACATAGAGTTGGGAAGGCTTTTAGGAAGATCTGTTCTTACCCCTTTATGGCCCAGACAGGAAACCTCAGACTTGGTAGGAAGAAGTGACACACTTAAAGTGACACGCTTCTCCCACCTACCAACCTTCCCTAGCCTCCTTTCTCCAGCCATGGTCTCTGCTAGAAAGCCATGCAGGCTGCCTGTCCTGTCCTTGGACTGCATTTAAGGTTCTCCCCTTTGATCACTGACTGCCTTGTTTCTAGTTGCTGCCTGTCTCCAACTCCCTCTTCCTTGACCAGAATACAAAGTTCTTTTTCTTAACTTTCGCTTCAGCATAGTGTTGGGAATTTGAATGCAACAATTTTCTTTTTAAATTACATCCTTTGATTATAGTTCAACAATTTAATCATAGTTATTAAATAACTTAAACATCTGTCTAGTTTGGTACCTGTGGTATAATGGGGGGATAAAAAACCACAGGCTTTAGAATCAAATAGCCTGGGTTTGTTTGTATTTTTTTAAAAACAAACCTTTGTTGAATTTACTCTGGTGAAAGAAGTTCTTATTGCAGCTGAAAGTGTCACACACAGACTGGGGAGTAAATGTCCTGTCCTGGTAGAGTGAGGACCCTTCTGATGGATGTTTAAACTACTTCTGCATTTTGCACTACTTCCCCTAAGACATGATAACTTTTGAACAAGATTAACTTCAATATGAAGTTTAATTTTTTCATTAGAATCAGGATTACCAAACACCCTTTTCTCTAGCTTTGTTGTTCTTCACCTGCAGTCCCTGGATAAATTTCAAGGATCTGGTGAATTCTTTTAGAGAGTATGTAGAAGTAAAACCACCTTTGCAAAAATGATAACAGTGAGAACATTATGGCAATGGCAGAGATCTGATCTACCAACCCCACTCTTGCCTTCAAGCTGACTTCATTATTCATAGGCTTAGGGCTAGCTTTGGAAGACAATAATTTATAGTTTAAATAATAGCCCTTCCCCCAAAACTCAACCACCTTTGTAAAGCTAATGAGAGACCACCAGGTTAGGGGGAGGAGAGGAGCCTAAATTCTGCTAAGGTGTAGACATAAATTATTGCCAGCCATTATTCCGGAGGTCACAAGATACACAACTTTTCCAATCACTCCTGCAGATAACATCATTCTTGTGGAACATAAGGTTGGCCTTTTGAGATAGCTGCTAGCGCCTGTTTTTATCAGAACAGAGCAGAAAAGATTCTTTTGAACTGATAGCCCAAATATCAGTGACTCTGAGTTCCTATTAGCAGGAGGCAGACCCTCAGTACCTCTGCAGCCTGTGTTTGACCTCTTGGTTATTTTCTGGGCATCTTCAAAAGGGGACCCCAAGAGTTCCCGAGCCCATTGGTCCACCACAGATGTCCTGGCACTCCTGGTATCCTCTCTTGGTCTGGCCTCCCCAGCCAGTGCCCATTGCTCTTCAAGTTTCCTGAAGGACTCTCGGTGATGTGATCACCTGAAAGCCGCCAAGGTCCACTCCCCATGGCCAGAGCAGTGATGGTGCTCTGCCTCCGTGTAAATGAGGAAGAAAAGTGCTATTCCTGATCCTGCCTCCCACCAAGTGCCTCATGAAAGCAGCCCCTCGGCTTCCTCCCTCTGTTCAGCCTGCACCCCCTCAAAGAAGCCCTCTCCGCCTGGGATGGCCTCCCCAAGCACACTGGAGCGCCAGCTCATGGAGGGCAACATGTCCATAGCTTGCTGACAGTATGCACTCACACAGTTCAGCTATTAATTTCAACGTGTTGATTAGGTGGTGTTTATAATATTTTTATTTTTTTAGAAACAGTTCTTTTACTTCCGAACAATGTAGTACAATTATCTGTGAGCATATCTGTGGTGTTTATGTATTTTCATTTTCCTGAAGAAAAAGCTTTCGAGAAGCCCTCATAACGGCCGGTGTGAAATGCCTGGGCAGTGACCGCCTCACCCCAGGAACAAGCCACGTGAAGGCCCAGGGTTGTCCCTCCTCCTCCTCCACACTTCGGAAGCTCTTTTCTTCCCTTCTTTCCACATTGTCCCTGCACATACACCCCTCGCCACCTCCTACCCCACACAAATTCCCAGCAGCTTTGGTGACAACTCAGACATTCCTCATTACACGGGTCTATACACAATCTTTTATGAGTTAATAACTACAGTTTCCCCCAAGGACAATGGTCACACTACATTTGTGGGACTCAAGGGCCCTTTTTGCTGAGGAAGGAAAGAAGCCAGGAAAAAAAGGAAGGAAGGAAGGAAAGAAGAAGGAAGGGAGAGAGACAAGGAAGGAAGAAAAGCAAAAAGAAGGATCTTCCCTAAAAGACAACTGAAGCCTCCACCTCTGGTGTCGGAAGCTGTTTGCAACCCCTTTCCCACTCAGGGAAGCGTTAAAGTTCTTAGGGGTCAGCTTGAGGTTGAGCCCGTTACACAGTGTGAGCACTCAGGTGTGAGCATGCAGGTGTGTTGTGTCAGCGTGTGTGTGAGGGTGATGTGTGTTCACACTGTCCAGGGCTAAAGGGGTTCAAAATACCCTTCTTATTCCATTTCCACCTCTTATGACCTTCAGAACCTTGAAGTTTTATCAGAGGAGTGCAATGGAAGCAGTTCCTCCTTCCATTGCAATCACCTTCTCTCATCTGTTGGGACCTTTAAGAAAAGGGTGGAGACTATTCCTGAGCCAATACTAAGGGATATTGCAAAAGGCAGAATGAAGCTGGGGACGTACAATGAGACCTCCTGGGAATGACTGCTGCGAGGAAGCAGCCTGAGCCAGATCTCTGGCAGGCGGTGTGAGGACCTCGTGATGGGGGCCTCATGATGGCCCTGACACAGCGGGGCCAGGCTTTTGAGTAGAAGGGACAGCTGCAGGGAGTTAGAGGTGCTGGCCCACGCAGGCAGAGGGGAGGAGTGCCAGCGATTATGTTGGCCTTTTTACACACTGATTTTTTTTTTTTCCCTGAAGGTAAGGATGGGGCAGAGAAGGTTCTCAAGCAATATTCTGAAATGAGCATGAATCGATGAATCATTTTCCAGAGCTTGGGGGCTTTCCAGGGACAGTGAGCCCCAGGAATCTGACACATGGACTCTTACCAAGAGAAATGGAATTCCTGAGTGGGGACTGCACAGGAAGCAGTAACGCTTTTCAGCATAAACTGTAGTCATCCTGGCCAGGGCTGCAGGCAAGTGAGGGAGCAGCTGCGCCCGGGGTCTAGCAAAGCCCTGGTTCCTCCAGTGAGACCCAAAGCATCTCCTGAAGGAAGGTCTCTTAAACGACCCTCAGAATCGGATTTCGCTCTGCATCGAGTTTTCTGAAACTTGAAGATCAAATGCTGAGGTTACAAATGCTTTCCATTATTTTCTTCATGGTTTTCTAGATTTTAAAACATTGCTCTAGCCAGGGTGTTTTCCCAGCCCCCACGTCCATGGCACCCCCAGTCTCTTCTCTGCACATCTGGATTTCCTACGGGGTTTCACTGGTGTCCAGGGCCGTCACCCAAAGGTGCCTGGCCTGGAGTAAGCAGAGGCTGGAACACAGCCTGAGCCTGGAACACAGCCTGAGCCCTGCTTGTCAAGTTCTGCTTCTGACCAGCGGAGGGGGGCCCAGACTGGGTGCCTATTTCTAATTCCTGGAAAGGTATGTGCCCGCCGAGGCCCAGCTGGTGTCCCCCTCTAGATGAAGTCACCTGCTGGGGCCACCACGACCCACCTGGGGCCCGCTGCCAGATCCCACCAGCCTCTGCCGCCTTTGCCCGGTGCCACTGCCACTGCCCCAGGTCACCACCATGATGATGAACCAGGCTCCCCATGAGGTGCCATAGCGGCACTATGTTGTCTGGGGTCTTCCAAGCCACGTTGTTACAGGAAAATGCTACACTTCCCAGATGGTTTCAAAGTGCAAGCTGCAATAACTCACAGAGCTTTGGTGAAGTCACTCATTCTATTTTAACTCAACTATGGAACTAACTCTACTGTTGAAGGCATGAGGGCGCCGGGCGGGGGAATGAACCAGAGTGGTGGCCATTCTGTGGGCCTTCCAACATTCCTCATCTTCGAGATTTGTCAGTAAGGGATTCTTACTGATTCAGACTTGGGTCTGGGTCCTCTTTGTGAAGATACACTTTGTGTCCTCAAATTTGAATGTTTTCCCAGAAAGCTCTTGTGTCCCCAAGACAGATTTCTGGTGGCCTCCCCATCACTGAGCCAGGCAGGCCCACACATGCCTGCCCCAGGCTTAGGGTGGGGCGTGCTCCATCAGAAAGAACAGGTCGATCTTCTTTCCTTCTTCCCTTCCTTCCAGGTTACACAGCGACATGCAAAGTCCTCCCCAGTATGGACCACATTGAAGCAGGTGTGAGGCAGACACCAGGGCTTCCCAGCCACCAGGCTTCTTTGGCCACTTTTTCGTCTTGTCCTGGTAGAAGGTGGCCATGAATCCAAGCACCCCTTCCAGCCTCACGAGATGAATTAATTAGCCTAAACTGTTTGTGGTAATTCCTTTCCCCTTGTGAGCAATTTGGCACTTTTTGGCACCCAGTCTCTGGTGTGACCTCGCCATCCTCATTGGCACAGCCACCCTGGGAACAAAAGCCATCCTCACGTGTCGCTGAGATCCCAGCCATGTGCACACTCAGCCCAGGTAGGCTGCAAGGGCAGAAGCCTCTGAGACCCACTGACTCTTAGCCTTAATTCTTCCAAATCAACTTTAATTTGCCCCAAATCCCCACACACCAGGACTGTGCCCAGGCTGTGGGGGTCTTACACAGCGTGAAAACTTCAGGAACTTCCTGCTGTCATCAGTTACTGGTCTTCCTATTTACCGTTTGGACAACCACAGACTGAAGGAATCTGAAATGGACCCGTCGGGTCAGTGGCTCTGAGCCACTGTGGGAATGTCTGGCAAGGCTGGAAGCCCTGGGGTCTAAGGTCCAGGGGGCCAAGGTGCACCTGGGCTGGCCTTTTGTTCACAGGCTTCCCTGTGATCTCCCTCCAGCCTGGGAGAAAAAAAAAAATCTCTCTTCCATGCTCCTCTCAAAGGCACCCCCTGCAGGACATCCACACGGTCTCTCTGGGAGCTTGGGCTTTTATTAAAGACACAGCAAGCCTGCCTTGCCAAAATCCCTCAGACAAGGCCATGCCAAGGGCTGGCGACCTCCTGGTAATGTGAGAAGACACCAGAAGAACACGTACTCCTTTTTCAATTAACTGTCCCCCCATCTTTCCGAGGAAATCTGACTCCTGTACCAAGCTTGCCTTCTAAACAGGTTGAGAGCCTAGAAGCCAAGGGACAGGGCTGTGAGGGGAAAGACTGGGCCCAGCCAGTGAGTGGGGGGCAGCCTGGGAGGAGCATGTTGGCAGCATGAGCCCAGCAGGGAAAGAAGGCCTCTGGCCTCTGTCCTGAATGGCAGGAGGAAGTCACCGTCGGCCACCCTCACAGCCCAGGGTTGGGGCTTCTGGAGTGACTGATATCACCCCACGTATGAATCTGGCCCTGATGCCAAGGACTGTGATTCAACAAGGCAACTGGGGCCATACACAGGGGTGCTGGGCCCTGTAGGAGACAGTGGCAAGGCCCTGCTCTCAGGCTCCTGGGTCCCAGTGGGGAGGCAGCCTCATGCATGGATCCTTAGCCCGTGAGGAGCAGGATGGCTGCAATAAGGAGGAGGAAGCCTGAACAGCTGATTCCTCCTTGGGCGGTGGGTGGGGTTGGCTCTGTGGGATCTGAGAAGGCTTCTTGGGAGAGGTTGGGTTTAAGTTAGGACCTTGAGACAGGCAGGAGGAAGCCATTCTAGAGAAAGGTGGCAGTTTCTGGGAGGGGTTTATAATTGAAGCTGGGGCATCAGGGGTATGTCAGAAGAAGGAGGGGCAGTGGAAAATAAGCTTGTAAAAACAGCTTGAGGCCAAACCACAAAGAACACTGAATGCCTGGGGAGGGGGAGTTTAGTTTGAATTTTTATTGTTTATGCATGGTCATAGTTTAAGGATCCCTGCCCCCAGTCTCAGATTTTGCCTTTTCCTGCTTCCCAAGCTTTCAGCTGGTTCTTTTAGTATTTACCTTCATAGCTGTAAATATTATGCTTAGATTACTATTTGATTTTTCTACTTATAATGTCATTCGTTGAGTTTCTGCTACAGAAGATGAGATGTTTATGTATAGTGAGAGCAGTATACATAAACATACTTCCTATCCCTTCAAATAGAGTTACATTATAATTTTAGTTCATTAATAGTTTGCATTACATTATTATTACTACATCAACAATACTCACAGCTGAATCATATAGTAGACCATGGTAACCTTTTGCTTGCTTATTTTGTACTTTTCCTGAAATTAATCATTACCTTGTTGTTTGCTTCTTTGTTTTAGTTTGTTTAAGTTTCTAAGTACTTATTACTAATGAAACCCCAAAGTTTTTGTCAAGTATAGACATCTCCTTTCAGGCTGTTCAGAAAGCCTGTGGTGTCCTACCAACTTCACCCTCCTGGGAAGCTCTTCTGAACCCTAGAGTCCTGTGCATAACCATTTGGGAAAATCCCTTCATCTCTCTCCTGGGTTAAGGTCCCCTTGCCTTCTTCCTCATTTCACCCCTATGTTTTGATAGAGCACATCCCCCAGTAGCTTTCTGAGAAAAGGTGCATTTGGGGCCGTGATACTTGAATACCTGGAAAAGTCTTTTCTACCCTTGCAGTTGATTGATAGGTTGGCTGGGTATAGGTTTTAGGTTAGAAATCATTTTCCTTTAGAATTTTGAAAACACTGCTCCATTGCTTTAAAAAATGTTGCAACTGAGAAACATAAAGCCAGCTTGATTTCTGTCTCCTTTGTATGTGATGGGATTTTTTTTTTCTGTTCTTCTGGGAGCTTTTACATCTTCTCTTTGTCCCCAGTGTTGTGAAATTTCACAATAACCGACCTTGCTGTAGGTCTCTTCATCCATTGTGCTGGAATGGGCCCTTTTAATGTGGAAACTTGTCCCTCTTGTCTGGGACATTTTCTTGAAATATTTCCTTGACAATTTCTCTGACAGTAGGTATTTTTTTCCACCCTTTGAATATAGATGGAAATACCATTTTCCCCAGAATGTAACCAGATCTTGTCGTTCTAGAATGTAGCCAGGGAAGCAAAGGCATCCAGCTAAGTTTGCCTGTGGTAGGAGTCAGAGCGTAAGCTTACTTTGGAAAGGGAGTTCTGCGGTCCACTTTCTGCCTCCGCTGAAGGCCTTCATGTCGATGAAGTGCCTGGGAGGTCCTAAGTCTCATCTTATTAGAGAAACTGCTCCTGAACAGCCTAAGATGTCACCCCATGCATCAGTTCATAGTCTCTTACTCTGCTTGATTTTACTTGCCACATCATAGGTGCTCAATGCTCATTGTTTGTCAAATTGAATTATTTGGGACACAATTTTCCCGTCTGTAAAATGAAGGTGCTGGACTAGAATTCTAAAAGTCCCAGTAGCTCCAATGTCCAACAACTATGCTTATGTCACTGTGTTGGAAAATGACTTATAAAAGGGAATGAAATAGTCTCTGTAAATATGTTTCTCTGCCCACATTTAATGAATTGTCTACCACAATGAGGGGGAGTCCTATTTGTGGGAGCCTGTGTCCATCCTACTGAGTCAGTGGTTGATGGGGGTGGGGTCCTGGCTGCTGAAGAGCCAACTGGGACCGCAGAGGCCCCTCTGAGAGCCCTCAGGCTGCCAGACACAAAGCCTGTACCACCTTCAGGATCTGAGCAAACTCAGTGAGGCTGGACCAGTGAGGAAAACGCCCTCCGTCTAGAAGAACAAGTTACTCCTTCCCCTTCTAGAGGCCCTGGGAGTTGTCCTAGGCTGTTCTTACCCTGGCCCCTTCCCACTTTAATCTAACCGATGACCAAGCCTCCTCCATCTGCTCCTAGGGTTTCTCACCCACCCACCCTCTGCCCTCCATTCTCATAGCCTACCTCAGATGGCTTTCATCATCTTTTATCTGGCCCCTGTCAACTGCCTCCTAACTCCCATCCCTCCACTTAGTTTGTGCTCTAAAACATTCTCCTGGCTAGGCCTGGTGGCTCACACCTGTAATCCTAGCACTTTGGGAGGCCACGGTGGGAGGATCTCTTGAGTCCAGGAGTTTGAGACCAACCTGGGCAATGTAGTAAGATCCCATCTCTATGAAACACTAAAAAAAATAGCCTGGCATGGTGGCACATGCCTACAGTTCCAGTTACTCAGGAGGCTGAGGTGGGAGGATGGCTTCAGCCCAGGGAGTTGAGGCTGCACTGAGCCATGATTGTGCCACTGCACTCCAGCCTGGGCAAGAGAGAGAGACTTTGTCTCAATCGATCAATCAATCAAACATTCTCACCAGTCACCAGATACACCCTTCCAAGGCACAAAACAGACTGTGCCCTTTCCCTGTCAAAAACCTTCCACTGCCCGGCTGGGCGCGGTGGATCACGCCTGTAATCCCAGCACTTTGGGAGGCCGAGGCGGGTGGATCACGAGGTCAGGAGATCGAGACCATCCTGGCTAACACGGTGAAACACTGTCTCTACTAAAAATACAAAAAAATTAGCTGGGCTTGGTGGCAGGCGCCTGTAGTCCCAGCTACTCAGGAGGCTGAGGTAGGAGAATGGCGTGAACCCGGGAGGTGGAGCTTGCAGTGAGCCGAGATCGCGCCACTGCACTCCAGCCTGGGCGACAGAGCCAGACTCTGTCTCAAAAAAAAAAAAAAAACAACAAAAAACAAAAAACAAACAAACAAAAAAAACACCTTCCACTGCCCCCGCCAATAGGAGAGAGAAAAGAATTCCATAAACACCCGTACTTCATACTTCAGTATCATGGCAGACAGCGCCCACCGCACGGTTGTGCCACCTGAGTCCCATAACAGCTCTCTGACCCAGGCAGAAGTCCCCTTTGAAAGATGAGAAGCTGTGGCTCCAGGGGACACATGACTGGCCTAAGGGCACTCAGGAGGCCTCCTGGAAGCTGGGTCCCTTACCTCCAGCCAGGGACCCTCCCAGTGCCCATCCCCTCCCCTAATTACCTCTAAAGACCCAGTCTGGTTACTTGCTATGAACCAGTCTCAGGCATTGGGAACCACAGGGATGGGCCAGAGACACACACAAACCAAGAAAACATCTTTGTGGTATCACAAAGCAAAGTGTGAGATGTCAGCCGGAACCAGGAGTGGCCAGCCTGGACGGTTGCCACTATGGAGGTCCCCGGAGTAAATGTCCGCCTACCCTCACTAGGACCCGTGGGAGGCCAGTGTTCCAGCGGCCACTTCAGGAGACACAGGGTCAAAGGGCTGATGTGTCTTTCTGTGATTCCGTCCTGAGGGGCCAGAGGGGTGTGACCAGGGAGTGCCTGCCCCAGCACATAGGATGCCCCAGTGTGGAGTCCTTAAATGAGCAGGCAGCACGTGTTTACTGGAACCCATATTGAGCCAGAGAAACACAAGAGAGGTAAAAATTATATCATTGTAAACAAGAAACCAAAGTTGCTTTTCGTTAATGAGGTGAATAAAACTGACATTTGCATCAGTCATCTTGCATCCAGCACAAGAAACCTGCCCGTGGGTAAGGCCGCCCTCTTGCGTCGCTGCCTTGTAATGTCAACTCGTCTTAGCCGCATCTGCCCCTTCTCCCTGCGTGCAGGTCAGCACTTGGTACGTTCCTAGGGAAACACCAGGCTTCAGTTGGCTCCTTGGGGCAGGGGCAGCAGCCGCCCAAGCCGGGCTACAGCTACTCTATCCGAACCAGTTTGTTCCTTGACACTTTTTACATGTTTACGCTCTCAAAAATTATTGAGGATCCCAATATGTTTATGTGGCTAATATCTACTGAGTTATACCATACTGGCAACTAACACTGATAATTTTAATATTTATTTAAAAATTTCATTTTATAATATAACTTTTTCTTTTTCCTTTTCTTTTTATTATTTTTTTCTTTTTTTGAGACGGAGTCTCGCTCTGTCACTCAGGCTGGAGTGCAGTGGCACAATCTCGGCTCACTGCAACCCCTGCCTCCTGGGTTCAAACAATTCTTGTGCCTCAGCCTCCATCTCATGCCTCCTCAGCTGGCACTACAGGCGCCACCACACCTGGCTAATTTGTTTGTATTTTTAGTAGAGACGGGGTTTCATCATGTTGGCCAGACTGGTCTTGAACTCCTGACCTCAGGTGATCCACTCGCCTCAGCTTCCCAAAGTGCTGGGATTACAGATGTGAGCCACTGCGCCCAGCCAGTATAACATTTTAATAAAAATAACTAGTTTTTTTTTAATGTACAGAAAGTGGCATTATTTTATACTTTTGCAACCCTCCCTTTAAGACCTGGATTAGTAGAAGACAACTGATTTTCACATTTGCTTCTAAACGCAATCTCTCGCCGTATCATATCATGTAGCCTCTGGAATACTCCGCTGTACACCTGAGACAGAATGAAAGTGGAAAGGGCAAATAACGTGTTTGTATGGTTACATATTTTTATTTTTTCCAATCTGAATAGCAATCAGTTTATATTGTTATGAAAACAAGTTTGATCTTGGGACGCTCTGTCTTGAAAGTCGTGGGAATGCCCAAGCAGCCCCAGACCACTTTGAGCACTGCTGAATTAAGAATATGGTCATGTGACATCGGGCACGGTGGCTCACGCCTGTCATCCCAGTACTTTGGGAGGCCGAGGTGGGTGGATCACCTGAGGTCAGGAGTTCGAGATCAGCCTGGCCAACATGTTGAAACTCCATCTCTACTAAAAATACAAAAAAAAAAAAAAAAAAGCCGGGCATGGTGGTGGGCGCCTATAATCCCAGCTACTCTGGAGGCTGAGGCAGGAGAATCTCTTGAACCTGGGAGGCGGAGATTACAGTGAGCCGAGATTGTGCCACTGCACTCCAGTCTGGGCAACAAGAGCGAAACTCCATCTCAAAAAAAAAAAAAAAGAAAAGAAAAAAAGGATATGGTCATGTGAGCCTCAAGTCTGGGTGTAAATCTAGAACCAAAAAAAGGGAAAGTTTCAGTGTCTATCTTCAGCATCCAAGTCCCTTTTTTTTTTTTTTTTTTTTTTTTTTTTTTGCCTATCCAAAGAACCTAAATTGCCTGAGACGGGCAGGGTTCATGCTCCTGCAATGCTGTGTGCGCAGGAGAAGGGAGGAAACACCCCCCTCCTCACTCTGTCAGGTGAGGTCCTGACCTGCAGGCCTATCACAGGCAGGAGGGTGAGCTGTTCCAGGCAGGCATTCCAGCCATCTCTCGCTGGCCTAGCACGTTTCAGAAGATCACTCACCCATCTTCCTGCTCAGCCACTGCCTAGAGACTGCTCTCGGCAGCTCTAACATTGTCATTTCAGGTTACTCTCGACCTCCTGAGCAAACTGGGGACAGCCACTCTTTCCTCTAAAACAAGAAAGCTGAGAAAAATGTCTTCTTTGTCCTAAGAAACAAATCCGTCCCTGATCCAACTCTTGCCATCCAAAACCACTGCTGAGAGGGCTTGGCCTGGACCCCCTTGCTCTTTACCCTCCTGGGCTCCCTTGGCACTTGTGTGGCTCGTTGGGATTTGAGGAATCACTCATTTTGCGTAGTCGACAGTGGTCTTCAATGCCTCACCCCGCAGAGAAATCTCTAGTGATGGAGATCTAAGACCAATGGAAGAGCCACCAATGGGTACATTTTAGGGCAGGAGGCTTTGGGGCGTGTTCACAGCCATCCTCATTCCATGACAGTGTTGGTTGAGGTGTACGGGAAGGAGGTGATCGGTAGTGATACCCTGGCAAATGGGGTTTTGGGGTCCGACTGGTGTGGTCCTGAGACAGCCACTAACCAGCTGTGTGACCTTGGGAAGCTCTCTTTGTTCTTTCTCAACTTCAGTTTCTTCATCAGTAAAACTGGACTAATAGAACCTACCTTCCCAGTTGTGATGACATTGAGAGATATGAAAGGCCCTGAGGCACTGGCCAAGGACTCAAGAGACCTGAGGCCTTAACCCCAGCTATTTCATGTCCTGATTATGTGTGACTAGGACAAGTCCCTTTCATCAAGACACTGCCTTCAGTGTTTATCTGTACTCTGTCTAGTTACATATCATCTCTGTTCTCCTATCGCCCTTGCCCCAGCCATCATCATCTGTTGTCGTAATTACTACAGGAAATTGTAACTCATTTCCTGGCTTCTGCCCTAGCCCTCCAGCCCTGACTACTCTCCGTGTAGTGACCAAAATTAACTCTAAGTCAGATCATGGGATGTCTCTGCTTAAAACCCTCTAACGTATCTCAGCTCACTCAGAACAAAATTCAAGTTCTCATAGTGAGTGGCCTTATAGGCCCTACAAAATCTGTCCTGTCCCCTCTCTGACTTCACTTTCTACTCCCACCCCTACTCTGCATGCCCCATAATGCCAGCCACACTGGTTCCCTTCTGTTTCTTCAACATGCTAGGCATCCTCTGACCTCACGACCTTTGCACTTATTGTTCTACTGCCTGGAACCTCTCCCCAAAATGTTACATGACTTGCTTCCTCATTTCCTTCAGACCTTTGCTCAAAAGTCACCTTTCAGAGAGACTTTCCCTGGACACCTTTTCTAAAACAACATTCCATCCATCAGTTACTGGCATCTTACTTTGCTTGATTTTACTTGCCACGTCATAGGTGCTCAAGGCTTATTAACTTGGGTTGCATTGGGCTACCTGGGCTATAACTTCTCCATCTTTAAAATAAGAGAGTTGGACTGAAATTCGTAGAGCCCTGCTAGCTCTAAAGTTCCATAATGCTGCTTACGTCTCTGTGCTGGAAAGCGACTTATAAACGAAAACAAAATAGTGTCTGTAATTGTGTTTGTCTGCCTACATTGAATGAATTACTTAACACGATTAGGAAGGTTCCCGTTACTGTCTCCTGATTCAGCTGAACATCACAGGAGCCTGAAACCTCAATGCAGGTTCTTCGGATGAACAAAGAAACAGAACCCGAATGCCAAAGATAGCCTCTGTTTAAAAAACATTTAGATTCTAGATCTGTACCCGGACCTGTGGCTCACATGACCATATTCTGAATTCAACAGTTCTCAAAGTGGTCTGGTGCCCCTTAGGGTACCAAGAACTCCTTCAGGAGGTCCTAAAGTCAAGACAGAGGCTACACATTGGTTCACCTCTTCCTGGACTCTGACAGCAGCCCCCAACTCCTTTCCTTGATTCCTGTCCCTTTGCCTCCATTGGGACAGCCAGAAGGATCTTTATAAAATGCTGCCTGACCTCTCTGTGCTCCGCCTTAAAGCATGCCAAGTACTTCCCAAGGCTTTCTTGGCATTTCCATGGACACACACTCAGGGCATGGCAGAAAGAAAGGTGTTCCTTGTCAAACTAAATAACAGGAAGATTCTAAAAGAAAATGATGTTTATTTGGGAATAGACATTGCCATGGGCATATGAATATAGTTTACTGTGATACTCATATTCCCATTGCAATGCCCATTCCTCAGTAAACATGATTTTCTTTTGTGGATTCTTCCTATTTGTTATTTAGTTTGACATAATGGTGTCAGAAGTGGGATTACATAATTGTTTTGAGACAATTGTCCTTAGCTACAAGGATTAGTAACAAGGATGGTGAGCTGAGTGTGGTGGCTCACACCAATAATCCCAGCACTTTGGGAGGCCAAGGTGGGAGGATTGCTTGAGCCCCGGAGTTCAAGACCAGCCTGGGGAACATAATAAGACCTCATCTCTACAAACAAATTTTTAAAAATTAGTCTGGTATGATGGTCCCAGCCACTCAGGAGGCTAAGACAGGAGGACTGCTTGAGCCCAGGAGTTCAAGGCTGTAGTGAGCTATGATCACACCACTACACTCTGCCTGGGCAACAGAGCAAGACCTTGTCTAAAAAAACGAAAAAAGAAGAAGAAGGAGAAGGAGAAGGAGAAAGAAGGAGAAGGAGAAGGAGAAGGAGAAGGAGAAGGAGAAGGAGAAGGAGAAGAAGAAGAAGAAGAAGAAGAAGAAGAAGAAGACGACGACAACGGTGGTGAGGGGGATGGTACCAGTCTGAGGTTCGACAGGCAGTTGATGGGCAGATTTTCATACAGAAGTATTTTTTTGGTAAGGCTGTTTTGGCCTTTATGCAAGATTGTGAAGTTGGTGAGTCTTTTGTGATAGTTGTTGTTATAAGGTATTTGTGCATGACAACCCTCCCTTCATGGGCTTCCCTAGCTCTATTTGTCTGAGTTTTTAACATAAGTAACTCCATCCTGATTCTGACAACTTCCACGTTTCCCCCTTTTGATCAAGATCTTTCTCCAAAAGCACTGCTGATCAATATTCCTGTAGTTAGATTTTGATTGTCCCCCAGTGCTGGGACCTGTCCCAGTTTGGCTTGGTCTGGTCCCACCAAGACCAGTTGTGATTAGCAGCTAGGAGTCAGTGTCAAAACCCTTTCAGCCACATTGGAGCAATTAAGTTCTGGAGGGAGTGACCCTCAGGCTAAGTCTACCTAGAATCTATTGTTAATTTCAGTTTTATCTGTTCTGTAGGCATTTGTTATCATCTCAAAGTATAGGCCAGCATTATTTGTTAGGAGTTGTACTTCTGCAAAAATTTAACAAGTAACAAATAAAAATGTAAAAGGAAAATATCAAGTAAAATAATAGTCTCAATTGGTGTAGTAGTTTTGAGTCATGAACTAGACCCAAAGGCAACCAATGAATAAATGAAATGATTATGGGGAATTAGGTGAGACTTGTAACCATGTGGCCTGTTTTTCTTTTAAACTTTGCGTATATGAGTCTCAACTTTTCCAGAGGAATTTATCCAAGTACAGCATGTAGTATTAGCAATAGTACAGACATTTATTTAATCAATAAAGAATATAGAGCAGTTTTATCATCTAGTATCCCATGACTGGGTTGAATTAAAACAGTGAGCAACAGTTGTATTAGGGATGTTGCCAAGGTCACCCACTAGGTGGACTAAAGGATCTCTTAGGTCAGGTTCTGTCAAGTTACAAGCAGAAGCTACTGATTATGAAATTTCAGTTATAGCATGATCCTGCCAAGTGAAAAATAGAGGCATCAAAGGGTAAGCGTCTCATTAGGATATGGAGCCTGGTTCCAACATCTTGGGAAAAGCTGTCTACAGCTGAATGCTGGACCACCCACCTCTCAGTGCAATCGAGCCTTGGGGGCACTGGGTGCCTCTCTCTGGGAAGAGACAGAACCCTTGGGATGAGGGTGTTCCCCAGGACCTAGATGGGGAAGTGCAGTCTGCAGAACCAAAGACATTCAGGATGGAGAGGCCCTCACATCTTGTTGATAGTTTCTGAAACACAGGGGTCTCTATTTTTATTTTTATTTTTTTTGAGATGGAGTCTCCATCTGTCACCCAGGCTGGAGTGCAGTGGCGCAATCTCAGCTCACTGCAAACTCCACCTCCCGGGTTCAAGTGATTCTTTTACCTCACCCTCCCAAGTAGCTGGGATTACAGGGGCGCCACCACACCCAGCTAATTTTCATATTTTTAGTAGACATAGGGTTCTACCATGTTGGCCAGGCTGGTCTTGAACTCCTCATCTCAGGTGATCCGCCCACCTCGGCCTCCCAAAGTGCTGGGATTACAGGCCTGAGCCACTGCACCTGGCCATATTTTGAAAGAGTGAGAATTGCCATTGGCATCCCCATACCTCCACCCCAGTGGCCCCTCTATATCATATTGGGCCCTAAAAGCTGTAAGGAGTCTGTTCTGCCACCTAGCAGGTGTGTGACCTGTGGCTGCACACTTCTGGGCCCTTCTTGCTTCATGTGAACAAAGTGGAGATGCCAGGTATCTACTGAGAGGATGCAATGGAAGTTGAAGGGTGTGTGCAAAGCAATGTTGACACGCAGTTGTCCTGCTCCACTCCTGGGGCCTCTGGACCAAGAGCCAGGATTCCACTGACCTGCCCTTGCCAGAATTCTTATTAGGACCCCAACCTTCCAAGCGCAATGTCTTGCCCCTCTGCCCAGTCCTCAGAGCACTGGGAGCCAGGCATATCGGGGCACGATGGGTATGGACGATATGCTGATTCTCTGAGCTCCAACAAAGTTGGGGGATGCACAAAGAACCTCCTGAAGCTCTTCCAGGGCCCTATGTCCTGGAACATCTATCTCTATGCTCAAAGCACCTTGCTTTGTTGGGGGAGTGGGGCAAGGAATGGATGCCCAGCCATTCCCTGAGCATGCATGCTCCCCGCCACTTGCAAATTTGCAAGGACAAGAACTTCCTTTTGTTGTGATGTGTGTGCATGAGGTTTAACAGGAAGGGAGTGTGTGTTCTCAGTTAACATGGCTTGAAACCAATTTCAAGGTAATTGAGAGGCTTCCCGTTTTCTGTTTACGTTTCACTTTGCTAAGTGCCCATTACAATTTCACTTTGCTAACTGCCAGAGTAAGGGGTCACCTAGAGCCAAAGCCACGGAGAACCTGAGTGTCTGCAGCTCGGCCAGAGTAGCTATCGCTGAACTTAGCCTGGGCGGACTCCAGGGATCCTGGGGGAACTTGGACACCCCCTCCATGACTTGTCTCAGCCCCCGCCCTCACCCTCCACAGCTGAGACTGGTACTGCCCAAGCCTCCTGCCCTCCTCCACTCACATGCCTTCTGCTGTTTGTTTCCTGGTGCTCTTCACCCCACCCATCCCCAAGCCCCAATCCTAGCCCCAGCCGCCTGGAGGGAGGCCCACAGGCTCTCCATCAGCCAGTCCCAAGGGGATCCAGCCATGTTCCATAACCTGCCCACTCCTCATTGCTCTCAGGGGATCCAGGGCTGGCTTTGCCCGGGTCTCCTCATACCTGCTAGCATTTTTTGGAGCCGGAGCATTGCTAAGTATTAGCTGTCCCTCCACCCTTTGTCACTGCAAGCGTCCTCCTTAACTCCTTTCCTAACATGCCCGTAGCTATTGCTCCTTACCATCCACGGCACTCACATATCACACTGGGATAGATTTGGCCAGCCTCTGTTTCTCACCATCCTATTTGTATTCTGTTTCTGGGTATTGCCTTAGCCTCCTCAACCAGACTGAGCTCGTGAAAGGCAGGGCTGTGGCTGAGCCTACCCTAGCAGTCCCCACTGAGTGCATGGCCACACACTGAACACATAGGGGTACTGAGAAAATGCCTGCATGGGTAATCTAAAGACGCTGTGTCAGAAGTTGGGGCGAGGGCATGGATAGAGGATGTGGGACTAAAGAGACAGAGGTGGTGTCCTGGTGTGTCCGGAATTGGTTCCTTCTGGTGGGTCCTTGGTCTCACTGACTTCAAGAATGAAGCTGTGGACCCTCACGGTGAGTGCTACCGTTTACTTAAAGATGATATGGCCCAAATTTGTTCCTTCTGATGGTCAGACGTGTCCACAATTTCTTCCTTCTGGTGGGTTCGTGGTCTCACTGGCTTCAGGAGTGAAGCTACAGACCTTCACAGTGAGTGTTAGAGCTCATAAAGGCAGCAAGGACCCAAAAAGTAAGCAGCAGCAGCAAGAGCTCTCCCAAAGAGCAAAGCACCCACAGCATGGAAAAACACCAACGTAAGTTGCCGCTGCAAGCGCGGGTGGCCTGCTTTTATTCCCTTATCTGGCCCCACCCACATCCTGCTGATTGGACCATTTTACAGAGAGCTGATTGGTCCATTTTGACAGAGTGCTGATTGGTGCGTTTACAAACTTTTAGCTAGACACAGAGTGCTGATTGGTGCGTTTACAATCCTTTAGCTAGACACAAAAATTCTCCAAGTCACCACCTGATTAACTAGACACAGAGCGCTAATTGGTGTGTTTACAAACCTTTAGCTAGACAGAAAAGTTCTCCAAGTCCCCACCTGTCCCAGAAGCCCAGCCGGCTTCATCTCTCACTGGGACTCGCTGCTGGACTTTGCAGCACCAAACCCCGGCACTCCGGCAGCCCACAGGGAGCTAGTCCCAGACAATCGAGGAAAAGAAGGGAAGCGAGAAAGAGAGGGAGACCTGCTATTGTGGCCAACGATCCCGCGAAGAGGCAACGGCGGTCCACGAACGGGATTCAGCCTCCCATCAAGCCCAGCCGGCGCTCACCTGGAACCCGCGCAGGCCCGCAAGCACCGTGTTCAGCCCCGGCTCCCGCCCGCGCCTCTCCCTTCCTCCCGCCCGCGCCTCTCCCTCCACACCTCCCCGCCAGCAGAGGGAGCCGTCTCCGGCCTCGGCCAGCCCCAAAGAGGGGCCCCCACAGCGCAGCGGCGGGCTGAAGGGCTCCTCCAGTGCGGCCAGAGCGGACGCCGAAGCCGAGGAAGCGCCAAGAGTGAGGGCTGCTAGCACGTTGTCACCTCTCACTGGGAAGGACACTGAGTTTGCCCTGAAGTTACTGTTACAATAAACATCAGGAAGGAAGAGAAACAGATCAATGTAAAAATAATGAACTATGGGCCGGGTGCGGTGGCTCACGCTTATAATCCCAGCACTTTGGGAGGCCGAGGCTGGCAGATCACGAAGTCAGGAGATGGAGACCATCCTGGCTAACACAGGGAAACCCCGTCTCTACTAAAAATACAAAAAATTAGCCGAGCATGGTGGTACATGCCTATAGTCCCAGCTACTCCGGAGGCTGAGGCAGGAAAATCGCTTGAACGCAGGAAGCAGAGGTTGCAGTGAGGCCGAGATGGCGCCACCTCACTCCGGCCTGGGAGACAGTGCGAGACTCTGTTTCAAAAAAAAAAAAAAAAAAAAAGAACTAAACAGAGTCCCTAACAGGTCACCATCACCAGCTACAGTGACACATTCCCCGTCTGGAGCGGTTGAAACCCATGGAGCAAACAGGGTCCTGAGCAGCCAAGACGGATGTCACAAGCTCCATGCATGAAAGCTTATGCTCTTTACCCTGAGCTGAACCCCTCCGTTCTCTGTACTCAGGAATCCCTGTTTTTATGAACATTTCTAACAAATGCAGGCATCCGGTTTGTAAATACACAAAAAAGATTAGAAGCAACAAATCAGTCTCATTAAACTGCTTTAGGCCAACATTCTGACAGTGCTGAGAGGTGACAGGTGATAGTCTTAGTGAGGGATGAGACTGTTCATCTTTCGAGGGGTAGCCTGAGGCCTCCAGAAGCCCAGCAGCCTGGGGTCATCCAGTGCAGGGCAGAGTCAAACCCAACAAGGCAGTGTCCTCTAAGCCCCTCCTCATTCTGTAGCTCAGTGTGGGAATGGATGTTCACAGTGATTAACGCTGCACAGTGATTAACGCTGAATCATGAAGAAAAGCTAAGTGATGTTCAAGACTCTCTGTTTAAGAAGATAAGGGCCAGATGCAGTGCCTCATGCCTAAAATCCCAGCACTTTAGGAGGCTGAGGCAGGGGATTGCTTGAGCCCAGGGCGTTTGAGACTAGCCTGGGCAACATAGCAACATCCGGTCTCTCAAAAACATTAGCCAGGTGTAGTGGCACATGCCTGTAGTCCCAGCTATTTGGGAGTCTGAGGCAGGAGGATCTCTTGAGCCTGGGAGGTCAAGGCTGCAGTGAGCGGTGATTGTGCCACTGCACTCCAGCTTGGGCGACAGAGCAAAACCTCATCAAAAAAAAAAAAAGAAGAAGAAGAAAAAGAAGAGGGCCGGGTGCGGTGGCTCATGCCTGTAATCCTAGCACTTTGGGAGGCTGAGGTGGGCTCATCACGAGGTCAGGAGATGGAGACCATCCTGGCTAACAGGGTGAAACCCCATCTCTACTAAAAATACAAAAAAAAAAAAAAAAAATTAGCCAGGCATGGCGGCGTGCGCCTGTAGTCCCAGCTACTTGGGAGGCTGAGGCAGGAGAATGACATGAACCCGGGAGGTGGAGGTTGCAGTGAGCCGAGATCGCGCCACAGCACTCCAGCCTGGGCAACAGAGCGAGACTCCATCTCAAAAAAAAAAAAAGAAGAAGAAGAAGAAGAAGATAAGGAAGTGTCTTATTCATTTTAAGTAAATTTTCCTCCAAAACTTATTGGTAGCTTCCATTTCTGGCTTTTCAGGCACTTTGTTTACATGCTCTCATCTGGGAGGTTGCACAAGTTATTGCCATTTCAGAGATGAGGGCAGGTGACTCAGCAAGGGTCCCATGGCTAGTGAGTAAAAGGGCAGGTCTCAGTATCAAGAGTTCTGCAACCAGCTCCACTTCCCCTCGCTGCCTCTGTCCAAGTAACTCAGGCCTCTGAATGCTCCAGGTGCATGCTACTGTCCTGATGTTACAAAATGTCCCCTTCCTCAGATGTCTCCTTTTCTCTGGTCTGTAACCACCATAGCAGCCTGGGGCTGCTGGGTGTGACTTTCATCCCTACTGTATCTCTCCCATTAGCACACATCAGCGCTAGGGATCTTACTTACCACTGATAGCACTTTGGTTTGAGCACCAGATTGCTCCAGATCGCTTCTTCAGGAAGAGATGGCCGAGCGTTACTCCATCACACCCAGAACCCAGAGTTAAACATTTACCAAGATGCAGTATGTCACAGTGGGCTCTAGGATCAAACTTCCTGGGTTCAAATTCCAGCTCTGCTACTTACTGTATAGCCTTGGGAAGGTCACTTAACCTGTCTGTGCCTTGATTTCCCCATCTATAAAATGCATGTAGTAGTAATATCTAATTCACAAGGTTGTCATAACCATCCAAAAAAGTTAACATGTGCAAAGTGCTTAAAACAGTGCCTGGCACTTAGTAGACATTTGACAAATATAAGTTATTATTGCTAATACAAAGCAGTTTATATGTATCATCTTCATAAGCTCATAAGCTGTATCAAATCCCCTCCCTTTTTTTTTTAAGAATAATACTGTTTGTAAAAAATCTCTAATTATCATAGCATCCTAGAAGATCAGTGTGAGTTTTCCCATTTTGTAGCTGAGACTCCTGAAGCACAGAGAAGCAAAGTGACTCATCTCAGGAAAGAGTGCCAGAAACTGGCAGAATCAGGAATGGTACCTGGGTCTACCTGGTGTTTGAGTCATAAGCTTTCCATAATAATTTGCATCATAACTGCCTTTCTTAGTAAAAATGTTAAAGAGATTAACTTCCTTAAGAAAGTGAGTAGGAGAGTGTTCTGACAGCTTCTGACAACTGGAAGTCCCACTTTTTTTTTTTTTTTTTTTTTGAGACAGAGTCTCACTTTGTCACCCAGGCTGGAGTGCAGTGGCGCAATCTCGGCTCACTGCAAGCTCTGCCTCCTGGGTTCAAGCGATTCTCCTGCCTCCGCCTCCAGAGTAGCTGGGACTACAGATGTAAGCCACCATGCCCAGCTAATTTTTGTATTTTTGGTAGAGACGGGTTTTCACCATATTGGTCAGGCTGGTTCAGGAGTGACCATATTGGTCACTCCTGACCTTGTGATCCGCCCGCCTCGGCCTCCCAAAGTGCTAGGATTACAGGCATGAGCCACTGCGCCCGGCCTGGAAGTCCCACTTTCAAATCTCACTTTGAGAGATTGAATCACTTGATAGTCGGAAGTTTCAGAACCTGAGAAGGCAAGTTCGGAAGGAAGGATTGGACTTCCATTTTTCAATAAGAGATGCCTGAGAGGCAAGGGCTGTCCATTATCACTGTTCATGGGTATTCTGGTGATCTATTGCTATGTAACCAATCACCCCAAATCACAGTGGCTTAAAACAACTATAATCATTTTATTACCTCTCACAGCTCTGGGGGCTGGCAGGCCTCAGCTGAGTGCTTCTCACGCAGGGTCTTTCATGAAGTTGCAGTCTGGGGTTGGAGGCATATGGACAGTCTCCTCATTCACATGTCTGGTGGCTGGTGCTGATTCCCCTAATGGGGAATCATCAGCCAGAACAGCTGCCCGTGGCCTCTCTGTGTGGCTTGGGCTTCCTCACAGCATGGTGGCTGGATTCCAAGAGCAAGGGATACAAGATCACTGGGTAGAAGTGCATGGCATTTTTCTGACCTAGCTGTGGAAGTCACATAGTGTCTCTTTTGCAATGACTTCTACTCATCAAGGTAGTCATAAAGTTTCTTCCACTAAGGTACAAGGAGAGGCGACATATACCTCTCCTGGACTCAATGGGAAGAGTGTCAGGGAGAGCATGTGAGATGAGATATACTTTGAAAGTACAATCTGCCACATGGGCAGGCTCTCCTGGGAGAACTTGCCATTTGGAGGAAAAAGGTGACGAATAGCGAATGTAGGCTCTAACAAGGACCCCTCCCTGTAGTCATATCTGATGGTAGTTCCTTCAGGGAACTGGCCACAAGAGACACGGTTGGCAGCAAGATTTACTGCTCTGCCAAAGCTGTCATTGAAATAAATAGGATTAGGTCTGCAGTGACTTCATTATCCGGACTGCTCTAATAACATGTAATTTGCCGCCATGCTGTGACCAGCAAAGCCGCCAGGGCATATAGTGGGAATGCCTGGTCACCTGAGAAGGGGTTCCATCCCCTGGAAATCTTACAGGTCTTTGACCTTGTCCACAAGCAGACAGATCTTACTTCCTCCTCCCACCGGCTTCTTTTATGCAAACAAAAACTGGAAGCAATTTTGCTTTTGAAGCTCCTGAGTCAGCCGAAGCCCCAGGAAATGTCCTGGTTCTTCCCCCAGCCTCTCTCCCTGAGGTCCCCATCCCAAGCCTGAGAGCTCTGGAAATCCAGTTAAAACAGTTGAGAGTTTTCCTGCCAGACAGCACAAGTGTGCCGGGGCCTGGCTCCCAGGGGGCCTAGGCCCAGCCTCGAGGCAGGCTGATGCTCTGTGCTAGCCTCAATACAGTGCTGGCCCAGCCTAGCAAGCCCTGCTAAAGGGTGGCTCTGAAGATGTGGAGCACGGGCCCTGGGATGGTGGGAAGTCCTCCTGTGTAGCTGGTCCCATCCATCTCTCCCTGGCTCCCCGAGCAAGCCCTCTGCTAGCTTCTTCTGCTTCTGTCACCTCCAGCTCCTGTCCTGCTGCAGAAAGTACAGCCTCCTCAACCTGGTATCAAGACCCTCCCATGCAGGCCAACCTGATGCCATTCTGGGCCCACCTTGCCTGTGCAGTCAGGGGCAGGGCTGACCTTCCACAAAAGCCACAGAGCAGAGCCCTCCTGCACCACGTCTGTGATGCTGACACTCTCAGGCGTGCATTCTTCTCACTGGGGCTGTGGAGTGAGGCTACAAGTGAGCAGAGGGCTCAAGGCGGGGGCAGGGCTTAGGCCCTTGAGTTGGGGGCTACTGTGGCTGCCCTCGGATGTGAGTTCACTTCCTCTGGGCTGCCTCTCCTGACCCTACGGAAGCTCATCCCACTGTGGGCCCTTCTGATCTACAGAGCGTTCCTCTACCTAGTGAATCATCCCTGTGAACTCTCAGTACAGTGCAGTAATGAAATCCAGACATTTCCCCAACTCCTGGGCAGGTGACTCTACCCAAAATATCCAGAACTACAGAAATGCTAACAACTGCCACCATTTATGGAGGATTTACTGTATGGCAAGTACAATACCAAAAGCTTTATTCTCAGTTTTGTTTTGTTTTGTTTTTTTTTGAGATGGAGTTTCACTCTTGTCCCCCAGGTTGGAGTGCAATGGTGCGATCTCGGTTCACTGCAACCTCTGCCTCCTGGGTTCAAGTGATTCTCCTGTCTCAGCCTCCCAATTAGCTGGGATTACAGGTACGCACCACCATGCCTGGCTAATTTTTGTATTTTTGGTAGAGACGGGGTTTCCCCATGTTGGCCAGGCTGCTCTCGAACTCCTGACCTCAAGTGATCCACCCGCCTCAGCCTTCCAAAGTGCTAGGATTACTGGTGTGAGCCACCGCACCCGGCCGGTATTCTCAGGTTTTAATCCTTATAAGAACCCATTCTACAGATGAGAAAACTGAGGCTCAGAGAAGTTAAATAAACGTTCCATTGTGTCACAACAGTACATTTTGCAGCCACCGTATGAATTCAAATCTGTCTCTTTGCAAACTACAGACTAGCAGCTATGAAGAATTTCTGATGTATTCTGGGCATGGCAGACAGCCCCTGAGTCCATGAAGTCACCTAACCTGGGAGCCTCCCATTTCATCCTCGATCCCCTTTATGGGGCAGAGCCAGAACTGTGGGGCTGGGCCGAGGGAGAGGACAGGGAGAGCAGCGGGCAGACAGGCTTTGGCTGTCTGGGAAGAGTATCTCCCCACCACGGAGGCCCAGCTGAAGCTGAGTGTTTCCCTGACGGCCATCTAGAGTGGACAGGAGTCAGGCCTCAAACATTAAAGGGTCAAAGATGAAATGGGATTTCCAAAGATGACTCCACCGGGCTAGGGGTGCACCAAATGAGGGGTGCTGCTGCCCTGTACTGCCCAAGAGATCTGAGACATCTCTTCACCCCCAGCCCCCGCCAGAAGTACCTTTCTTTATACAGCAAAAAGTGCATAGACTTTAGGGTCAAGTCCCTGATCTATCACTTACTAGCTGTGTGACCTCAGGAAAGTCACTTAACCTCTCTGAGCCTCAGTTTCCTCCTCTGTGAGTGGGGATAATACCCATCCGTCAAGGTGGTATATTGTCACCGTGTTGTGGTTGTTGTGAGGACTGGGGATCTTGGGTATGAAGCACTAAGTGCCCAGAAGGCGCAATGACGCTGGCGCCACCGTCCTGACTCCCTCAAAGGGCAGGACCGCATAACTGTGTCGAACAGGCCCAGGTCAGAGAGTGCAGAAGCTGCTCTGTGAGGACCCTGCACGGTCAGCTGGATTTCCCAGTGAGGCATGGATGGGGCTTGCTAGTAGGGCCCCAGGCTGCTGGCAGACACTGCCAGTGGACGATGGCCACCATGGGGCCAGGGGTGCTCTGATGAGGTTCATTGAGGAAGAGACCTTTATCTGCCTGGAAGAGGAGCCTCGAAGGAGCACGAAACATGGGTCCAGGGGAAGGGAGGGAGGTAGGGCAGTCCCATTCCAGCAGCACACAGCTTGGAGGTGGGACTTAGCCCACCAGGCTCCAAGGAGAGCACCAGAGCAGCTGGCTGCGGGCACAGGGAGACAAGAGAAAGAGCTGGGAAGCCCAGGCTGAACCTTGGGCATGGCCAGTGTCTGGCAGGGTTGCGCCAGGGGCACAGACAGCCCCAGGGCTCAGGACTCTGGGAACCAGAGTGGGGACGAGAACTACCAATCAGGGAATGCCCGCAAGATGCAGACAGTTTTGGCATCTCCTCAGGTAACTCTCACAACAACTCCACTAAAACAGGTACTGTGATCCTGTTTTACAGAGTTTTCCAGAGCAGGAAATCAAGCTGGAGAGAATACCTGGCTTGGCCCCAGGCCTCATTGAACCCAGAACTGTCTACCACTTTCCATTGCACCAAGCAGAGAAGAAGAGTGAGTGGGCTGGCTGGAGCAAGGTCTTGTTTTTCTGGAACCCAACCCAAGAGACCTTTGTGTGAGAACTGGTGAGAGTGCCCTGCCCTCTCCCAGGGCCCTGATGGGGCGGGAGTGCCGGGCAGGAAAGGCAGGTTTCCTGCAGCCTCAGGCTCCGGATCAGCCAGGCCAGACTGAGTCTTTCTGGCACAGCAGGCTCGTTCTCAGAGCAGCAGCTTCACTGGCCCCCTAGGCAGGAGCGCCCACCCCCGTGACCCTTGGTTTCCCACACTCGGAGTCATTGATGGGTCAACACATAGAAGCCACCTTCTCCCAAAGATGTGGTGGAAAGAATGATGGGATTGTCGGATGCAGGTTCTGACGCCCTCCTCCAAGGGGCTTCCTCCACTCACCATCATCCTTCTCCAGAGGCGGAAGGTTGTTCTGAGGAGGGGAGGCAGTGGCACAGGTCAGGAGCCCTGCATGTCTGCTTATGAGAATAAGGGGTTCCCGAGACCCCCTCAACCATCAAAAGACAGAAGTCTGGAAGCCCATGGAGTGAGGGAGAACACAGGAGAAGTGGCCACTGTGGGGCCGCTGAGGTTCTTCCTGAAGTGTCCGTCAGAGGCTGCGCTGGTGTCTGGTCCTCAGTAGCCCCCTCCACCCCAGCTCCCCAGTGCGGACTGGCAGGGCTAAAGGCCACGTTCTCACACTGCTCCTGGAGGTTGGCCAGGCCCCGCCAGCGCCTTTCACAGCCCAGCCTAGAGTGCCTCAGGGTTTGGTCTGAGGGGAATCAGTCAGGTTCAGTTACCTGCTGTGGCTCACGCAGTCAATGCCTCTTTATTTCCTAGGAAGCCTCACACTTACAGCAATGGCCAGGGACAGACCTGCAGTCCTTTCCAACCAGGCAACCCACCGTGGGGTCCTGGTGAAAACAGAGAGGTGTCCCCACCACCCGCACTGATGAGCTTGCTCTCAAGACCTTCAGGCCATAACCCCAACTGGGAGTGGGGATGGGCCAAAGAGGTATGACCTAACCAGGGACTGGACCTAGCTATTCATTCACAAATACAAGCATGTCTGAGTGTCTACCACCTTCTGGGTGCACGGTTGGCCCAGGGTATGGTAGCAATTGAACACAGCCTAGAACCGATATGAGCAAGCGAGCTGTGGGCCCCACGGTCTGCACAGTAAGGGAGAGGGCGTCCTTGACAGCTCTGGCAGTATGTGGTTTTTGGCCATCATTTTCTGGCCTCTGCTGGAGGTTCGACTAGGGTAGGCCTGAATGTTGGGGCTACTTAGGAAAAGAGACCCCAAATAGCCCAAGCCACCTGGCTGTCATGGGGTCAGTGACAACATAGTTGTCAGTCCACTCACAGGCCACTGTGGTCAGGGAGGAAAGGTCACAGTGTCTGCATTAAACCCACATTTGTAGATGGTGACACTCTAGGGCCCCTGCTTTATGATACTTAAGCAATTGCTTGGCTGGAAGAACCCAACAGCCTAAGATGAAACCTCCAGACCGCAGCCCTGCCCCAGGGATTCCCTCACTTGGTGTGGCCAGAATAAGGAAGGACTTGCCCTCAGGTCCCCCATCCTGCCATTGCCATGGAGCCAGGGACTTTAGAGTTTCAGCACTTTAGAAGCATCTGGATGAAGCCTTCCAACCGGAAATCCAGTGCCTCAATCAGTGGGGCAAGGACCACAGGTCAAGGCCATCCTGCTAGGTGGGACCAGGTAGGGCCAATGCACAGCATAGCTTCTGTGGTCCCCATGAGAATCTCGGGTGTCCTGGAGACTGGGCCTCTGGCCTCCAGGCTGCCCTCTGCACCCACCCTGCCTGCCACTGCTCTCATCCCTCCAGAGAAGGCTTCTGGGGACCTCCGCTCTTCTGCACACAAGCAGAGGGATGAGAGTGAGGAACAGGAATGGCCACAGGTTTCTCAGGCATGGGAGAGGCAAAGGCCCCCAAAAGGAGGGCTGAGGCTGTCAGGGTGGGGCCAAGGCTGGGTGTGCCCTGCCTGAGGGACCTGCTGTGAGCCAGCACAGAACCTGATCATCAAAAGCTTGAGAGATAAGCCACAGGCAGATAAGAAGCTGCATTAAGCTGCAAACCTAACAGCCTCGTGACTCACTTCACTCAGTTTCCTCCTGCACCACATAGGCAGAGGAGCCCGGGTGACTGCTGGGGGCTCTTCAGCTGGGGGTGAGAGGTCCTCGCAGAGTGACCTTGTTAGAAAGCATGTGGCAGTAGGTGGGGAGTGTCCAGGACACTGAGGCAGCTGGGTAGCAGTGCCAGGGCTGACCCTTGCCTGCTGTGTGACCTGGGCAAGTTCCTCCAGCTAATCCATAAAACGGGTCCATGATGCCCATCCTCCTCCCAGGCTGAGGGGAAAATCAGGTAGGCCAAAGGAAGTAGATCTAGTGGGTGAACAGCAGGCTGCTGTGTACGTGTGTGTGTGCATGCATATACACACACGCATACACACACAATACATATGCATACCCATGCATGCACACACACATACATGTATACATACATACACACACACATGCATACACATACATGCATGGACACACACAAATATACATGCATGTATACATATATACACGCATACATACACATACATGCACACACACACATACGCACATATATACATACGCACATGCATGCACACATACACATAGACAGACGTGCATGCACACACATATACATGCATACGCGCATACATATACACACGTGCATGCATGCACATATACATACATACATAGACACATGCATGCACACATATACATGCATACACATACACACATACATACACATACACATGTGCATGCACGCACATATACATACATACATAGACACACGCATGCACACACAGACACAGACACACACCGGAGGAACTCTCACCCTATTGTTGGTATATTATTTGGGCCCAGAAGTCAATTGTTGTATAACATGCACAGTCACTATCAAGATAATGTTTCCATAGCCACTGTTATTTACTGAATCGTGTCCCCCAAAAATTGTATGTTGTAGCCCTAACCTCCTCGTACCTCAGAATGTGACTGCATTTGGAGATGGGGTCTTTAGAGAGGTGGTGAAGTTCAAATGAGCCTGTTAGGCTGAGGCCCTAATCCAATGGAACTGGTGGTCTTATAAGAAAGGGAAAGGCCATAGGAGGGCACAGCGAGGAGGCGGCTGTGGCCATCTGGAGGCAAAGGAGAGAGGCCTCAGAAGGGACCAAACCCGAAACACCTTGATCTCGGACTTCTAGCCTTCAAACTGTGAGAAAATAAACTCCTTCGTTCAAGCTGCCCAGCCTGCGGTACTTCATTATGGCGAGGGCTAACACAGTCACTCAGAGGAGTCCAGTTCAGCCCCCGGGTCTCCCCACTTGTCTTGGCTTCTCCTCAAGGCATCCCCACAGGCAAGCCTTCCTTGGACCCTTGCTCTGCTGGGCAGGGTCGTGCTCCTCTCCCAGCCTTGACTTTTGAAATGGGGTCACCCTCATTGTCTCCAGCCCTCTCATTTCCCTGGCACTGCAGCCTCACTCTGCTCTGCAGCCCGCAGTGGCTGCCTTCTCCTGCCCAGCAGGGCTGGGGCCAGCGTGGGCTCCCCTCATCGGTGTCACTTGTGGGCCCTCTGTCACTTGACCTCGGTCTTCCTCCTGGCTCATGACCAGATGGAGAACAACTTCAGCAGGGCTTGGCAAGTGCTCCCGAGGCTGGCTTCTCAGATTTCTTTTAGAAATCTGACTGGGGTTTCCATTCCTCGTCCAGCTGACCAGGCACTGAGGAGGAGCCCGGAGGTGGAGGTCAGGAGCAGCTGGAAGAGCAGGAGGAGCCCGGAGGTGGAGGTCAGGAGCAGCTGGAAGAGCAGGAGGAGCCCAGAGGTGGAGGTCAGGAGCAGCTGGAAGAGCAGGAGGATCCCGGAGGTGGAGGTCAGGAGCAGCTGGAAGAGCAGGAGGAGCCCAGAGGTGGAGGTCAGGAGCAGCTGGAGGAGCAGGAGGAGCCCGGAGGTGGAGGTCAGGAGCAGCTGGAGGAGCAGGGGGAGCCCGGAGGTGGAGGTCAGGAGCAGCTGGAGGAGCAGGAGGAGCCCGGAGGTGGAGGTCAGGAGCAGCTGGAAGATCAGGAGGAGGGTGGGGTGGCTCATCTCTCCTCAGGCCTGGCCTGGGCCACATCCCTTCGGCCCAATCCCAGAACTGGGAGCCCTGCTGGAAACAGCTGTCCCTGCTCAGCATGGCCGCTGACTGGCTGACCTCCTGGCCCAGCAGTCCCCAAGGTGGCCTTTCCACTGGGGAACAAGGAGCTCAGCCCAAGGTCCAGAGCCTCATCACTGTGGTGGGAACGAGCACTGGGCCACGGGGATGCTCATGCCTCTGAGGGGTCCCTGCCGGGCTGGAGAGGAAGTGGGTGTTTTCGCCTGTGGGTGGGTGCTTGTTCAAAGTGTGCATTCATCTGTTTATTCGATAGGAAAGTATGAAGCAACTTTCTGTGCCAGGCACCGTGCTGGCTTTGCCCCGGGATGGGTGAGGAAGCTGTGGAAAGAGCCAGTTGTTCGTGCAGGCATGGATGACTAACGTGAGAGATGAAGAAGCCCTTTCTCTGGAGGCAAGTGGGTGCCAGATGATGTGGGAGAGAGACACACATACACCCCAATAAAACTCCATCTGAGCAGCTCTTTGTGCCTGTGCTGGGTCCCAGGACAGCCTGTTTGGCTTCCAAGTATGTTTGGGACGAGGCCCAGCCCCATGCTGTGTTATCTTTGTGTTCCTGGGTCCACCATGTGGTTCCTCTACCTCATGCTGGGGTGGGAGGGATGTGAAGAGAGCTGAGCACGCAAGAACTGAGAATCCCATGCAATTAGTCCACATGCAGGTATCCCACCTCAGGTAGCTCCTCTGCCACTGAAAGGGTTTCTTGAGCACCGAACACACCAGGAGCCAGCAGGGGTGGCACAGACATCTCTGTGGGTGAGTCCAAGATCAGCAAAGACCAGCAGATGTGTTGATGCTCCCAGCCCAGAAACAGGGACACCCTGGCCCAAGGCCTGAGTCCCATATTTCCACAGGACAGACTCATCCTCTTGATCAGGCCCAAGTTCTGGGTTACTCAGGAACCACTTGTCTTAACTGTCCACCTCCTCTGTGTCCACACCCATGTGTGGACAGATACACACCACGCCGGCTTTCTCACTTCACGGCACTCTCCCTAATATCCTTGGGATCTTCTCTCTGCCTTCTTCTCTCTCCTTTAATGTCTTTGTGCTGTGGATCCCACCCTTTGCCTTGGAAAGGTCATTCCCTTGAAATTACCTCATTATCTTCCTATATCATTTCCCTGTCTCTATAGGGCCATTCCCATCAGCATAAACCCATGCTCTAGGAGAGCCCATCTCCTGAAAACAAAAATCAAAACAAAAACACAATGGAGGCCGGGTGCAGTGGCTCATGCCTGTAATGCCAACACTTTGGGAAGCCGAAGTGGGTGGATCACTTGAGGTCAGGAGTTCAAGACCAGCCTGGCTAACGTGGTGAAACCCCATCTCTACTAAAAATACAAAATTAGCCGAGGGTGGTGGCACACGCCTGTAATCCCAGCTACTCGGGAGGCTGAGGCAGGAGAATTGCTTGAACCTGGGAGGTAGAGGTTGCAATGAGCCAAGATCGTGCCATTGCACTCCAGCCTGGGCGACGAGAGCGAAACTCCGTCTCAAAACACACACACACATGCGTGCACACACACACACACACACACACACAACGGAAATCTTCCCTCTGAGGCCCCTTTTCCTCAGCAGCTGCTGTTTCATTCTCTGCTCTCCTCCACAGTGTGATAGTTTCCCACGCACTCCACACTCGCCACGCTCGCAAACTCACTCCCACTCTCCATGCTCACCCCATTGGCTCCCCTTGCCTCCAATCCACTAAAACTGCCCAAGTCCCCAGTGCTTTGAGAGGTTGAGGCAGGAGGATTGCTTGAGCTCAGGAGTTCAAGACCAGCCTGGGCAACGTAGCAAGACCCCATCTCTGCAAAAAGTTTTAAGAAAATTAGCCAGGCATGGTGGCACACACCTGCAGTCCCAGGTACTTGGGAGGCTGAGGTGGGAGGAGCACTTAAGCCCAGGAGTTTGAGGCTGCAGTGAGCTATGGGTACTCCAGCCTGGGTGACAGCACAAGATCCTGTCAGAGAGGGAGGGAGGGAAGGAAGGAAGGAAGGAAGGAAGGAAGGAAGGAAGGAAGGAAGGAAGGAAGGAAGGAAAGAAGGAAGGAGAAAAGGAAAAGGAAAAGAAAGCCAGCCGGGCATGGTGGCTCACGCCTGTTACCCCAGCACTTTGGGAGGCCGGGCATGGTGGCTCACGCCTGTTACCCCAGCACTTTGGGAGGCCAGGCATGGTGGCTCACGCCTGTAATCCCAGCACTTTGGGAGGCCAAGGCAGGCAGATCACGAGGTCAGGAGTTAGAGACCAGCCTGGCCAATATGGTGAAACCTCATCTTTACTAAAAATACAAAAATTAGCTGGTCGTGGTGGCATGAGCCTGTAGTCCCAGCTACTTTGGAGACTGAGGCAGAAGAATCGCTTGAACCCGGACGGTAGAGGTTACAGTGAGCCGAGATAGCGCCACTCTACTCCAGCCTGGGCGACACAGTGAGACTCTGTCTCAAAAAAAAAAAAAAAAGAAAGAAAGAAAGGAAAAGAAAAAAAAGAAAGGGAAGGGAAGGGAAAGGAAAGGGATGGGGAAAGGAAAGGGGAAGAGGAAGAGGAAGGGGAAGGAAAGGAAAACACTGCTCTGGTCAAGGCCTCCAATAACGTTGATGTTGTTGAAGCCAGTGGTCACTTCTCTGTCAATGCACCAGATCCATCAGCAGCATTTGAATGGTTGGCTGTGTCTCTTCATTGAAATAATCTCTTGGTTTCAGAGAAAACAACCTCCTTACTTTTCTTGTCTCTCTTTGCCCATCTCAAGCTCCTCTGTTGGTTTCCATCAACCTCTATATGTTCTTGTGTGTATCTGGCTTGGTCACGGGCCTTCTATTATTTTCTAGACAGTCTTGAACTAGATGAGCTCATGGAGCCTTTGAAAAGCATTCACCTGCTCAGGCCTCCTGCACTTGCATCTTCAGCTCTGACCTTTCCACTGAGCTACAGGCTCACACCTACTTGTCGTCTCCATCTGGATATCTACCAGGTATTTCAAAATTAACATAGATAAGATACAACTTTCGATTTCTGTCCCCACCTCAACCTTTCCCATCTTGGTAACTGGCACCAGCACACACTCCATTTCTCAAAACTAGTAGGCCTCCTGGAGCTCCTCCTTCTCTTCCTAGCCACCTGAGATTCATCACCAAGTCCCACAGACCTAACTCAGTTATGTCCCAAGCCCCTTCTTTCTTCTCCATCTTTGTCACTGCCACATTAGTCTGAGCCATCACCTGTCATATCCACGTGGCTGTTGGAGCCTCCCAATTGTCCCCTGCTTGTTCCCCAAAGTCCATTCTACCCACAACAGCCAGGATGATCTTTTAAAAAAACTTTTTTTTTTTGAGACAGAGTCTTGCTGTGTTGCCCAGGCTGGAGTACAGTGGCATGATCTCGGCTTACTGCAACCTCTGACTCCTGGGTTCAAGTGATTCTCCTGCCTCAGCCTCCCGAGTAGCTGGGATTACAGGCACCTGCCACCATGCCTGGCTAATTTTTGTATTTTTAATAGAAATGGGGTTTTGCCATGTTGGCCAGGCTGGTCGTGAACTCCTGGCCTCAGGTGATCCGCCCACTTCAGCCTCCCAAAGTGCTGGGATTACAGGCGTGAGCCACTATGCCCGGCTGATCTTTTAAAATTTTAAACAAGATAGATCACTTCCCTACTGTTATTTGAATAAAGCCTAAAGTCCTTGCCATAGCCTGCAATTCAGTGCAAGGCACCTGCCCCTCTGACTTCAACTCCTCCCACTCTTCCCCTTCATCGACCTTCATCCCCTTGCTCAAACTTGGGAAGTAGGAGATAGTTCCACCTTAGCGGGAGCTCTCCAGCTTGTCCTTCTACCTAGACTATTCTTGCCCGGATTTCTGCACATCTCAGATCAAACACCAGCTCTTAAAGAAGAGGCTTTCTCTCACCCTCCAGGCTCTCCTAGCTGCGTCACCCTGATTTGTTTGATTATCAGTGAAATGTGTGTTCTGAGTATTTGTTTACTCGCTTGTTGTTTCTCTTCCTACTAAGCTGGAAGCTCTGTGACAGCAGAGACCTTCTCTATCATGTTCCCTGCAGTATTTCCTGCTTTGAGAGCAGTTCCTGGCACATTAGCTGGGGCTCAATAGAGTGCTGTTGAAAAAATGAGCAAACCGAGACCAGGTAGTGGGGACAGCCCCAGGGGCTCCCCATCTAGAGAAGCGATGGAGACAAACTGGCATCTATAACATGCAGCTCCATGGATACTTTGCTACACGGCAGACGGGGGTTGCAGGAGCCTTGAAGATGTGACTCTACCCCGCATGCATGGGAGCCGGTGCAGGGGAAAGTTCCTGGAGAAGTTGTGTCCAAGTTGAGACCTAAAGGATGAGGAGGTAGGTGCAGGGCAGAGAGAGGGTCATGTCCCAGGCAGGGACACTTGAATGTTCAAAGAGCCAGTGAAGGCACAGTGAGGATTCAGAAAACAGTGCTTACAAATCATCTAGCCTGCCCGACAGAGAAGGGCCATCTTTCTTCCTCCTGTAGCCACTTGGAAGAGCAGAGGGGACTCTGCCCAGGCCATCCCGCCTGGACCGGGGAGGCAGAATTAAAAAGACCCAGATTTCTGTGGTTGAAGAGACAAAGCTGAACTATGGAAGTAAAGGAAGTCCCAGCCCAAGACCAAACTGCGAGACCATGGCACCCAGTGCGGAGGGCACGGCCGAGTCCCTCCACCACATACAAGCCTGGGCTCTAGGGCTCCTGCCAGCCCTGCAGAGACTTGTCCCTGAACTGGTCCTGATTCCTGAAGAGCCTGTCTTTCTGCTCACTCATCCCTCATTCAGTCACCACACACACAGCCATGCACATCACCTCTGCTCTGGTCACATGCACATGCCCACACCTACCCTCAGGATCTCAGGTGGGTGCCTGGATCGTCACACACTCACACACTCCACCCCAGGTGGTGAGCCCAGTGTGCAGATCCTCACAGCTAGCCTGATGCACTCCTGCTCCTGGAAGCTCCTGAGCTACTTGGGAGGACCACATAGTTTCCAGAAACCATCCCCACCTCCAATTTATAATAGTATGGACAAGCTTGTACAAGGCAATGTAATCTGAACTATATATACTACATGATGGGGTGATTTGAGCAGGCTTCTTGGAAAAGGAGAATTTGAGCCATGTCTTTTTTTTTCTTGCTGTCACCCAGGCTGGAGGACAGTGGTACGATCATAGTTCACCGCAGCCTCAATCTTCTGGGCTCAAGCAATCCTCCCACCTCAGCCTCCAAGTACCTGGGACTACAGGCACACGCCACCATGTACAGCCAATTGTTTTTAATTTTAGTACAGAAAAGGTCTTGCTATGTTGCCCACTCCTGAACTCCAGTGATCCTCCCACCTCGATCTCCCAAAGTGCTGAGATTATAGGCATGAACCATTGCTGCACCCAGCCTAAGCTGAGTTTTGAAGAGTTGTAGAATAGTGAAAATGAAGAGAAAAGAGATTTTTTATTATTCTTATTTTATTTTATTTTTTAGAGATAGGGTCTCACTTTGTTACTCAGGCTGGAATGCAGTTGCACAATCATGGCTCACTGCAACCTCGAACTCCTGGCTCAAGGCTCAAGCAATTCTCCTACCTCAGCCTCCCGAGTAGCTGGGACTAAAGACATGCACCACCACACCTGGCTAACTTTTTAGGTTTTTGTGGAGATAGGGTCTCACTATGCTGTTCTTGAACTTCTGGGCTCAAGCGATCCTCCTGCCTGGGCCTTCCAAAGTGCTGGGATTACAGGCATGAGCCACCATGACTAGCCCAGATTTTTTAAGACAATTAGTTAGGCTCCTCAGGCTACAAAAAAGATAACACATTGGTTCATGGAACTGAAATGTCAGGGTTGGTCTGATTCAGGCAATGCTGGATCCAGAGGCTAGAATAATGTCAACAGGTTTCTACCTCTCATATATATATATATAAGAGCCTGCTCAAATCACCACATCATGTAGTATATATAGTTCAGGTACACACACACACACACATATTTCCCAAGTGGGTTCTTACTAGATGGGAGGCCAGATTGACCTTAGCAATTCAAGTGACAGAAAGTGTGTTTCCTGAGAGCTCCAGCAGAAAAGTCTTGAGGACTCTGATTGGCCTAGTCTGAGGTCACATGCCCACTTCTGAACCAATCCATATAGTCGGAGATATGGAGTCTTTGACTGGTTAGGCCTAAGGCCGTGTACCAACTTCTCAGTAGGCTAGCCCCATCCAAACCACATGGAATGGGTTTCTTAAGGGAAAGGGCTCTGTTGTCAGAAGTGGGTAATGAGTACTAATCAACGGAGGTCAAATGTCCCTGCTTTAAATAATAGTCCTTCCCCTGGTTATAGCACTCCACACTTTTTCATGCTTCCACATAATTTATCCAGTTTACTTATCAAGAAATAATATTGAGTCAGGCATGGTTACTGCCTGCATTTCACTCTAGGGAAAGGGCACTTCCAGATATTAAACTTGATTTTTCTGCTCTACTATAACAGGGGCTGTCTTTGAGCCATCTATTCAGGAAGGACAAATGGCCTTGGAGCTCCTGGATGAAGTCTCCTCTGGAGAGTGTCAGGGCGGGAGGTGGGGGATTAGCTCTGGATGTACTGATGTTGAGGTGCTTTAGGGAGGAGCAAGTGGAACAGCCCAGGAGGCAATTCTGTATAGTAGACTGGAGTTTCCCTTGCAACAGCCAGGCCACCACTGCCACGCTGAGGGCTTCTTTAACTCTGTGTGCTAAAGTGGCCAGTCAAGGGGCATCCATTCAGAGAACAGTGGGGCCAAAGCCCTGAGCACAGGCACGGTGTACAGAGAGGTGGGGGTGAAAAAGTGTGATATATAAGCAGATCCGCCTGGGCTTGACTCCTGCTGTGCTAGGAAGACCTGAGCCAAGACCAGCCCCAGGACCTCCTTAGCCGAGTGGAGAGGACCATGAGACCTGGATCTATCACTGACCAATCACTTCTCTCCTTGCTGCCTCAGCTGCGCCTCTAACACTCTGCCATGCTTGACAGCTGGCCTCCAGCGATGAGCCCCAGTGAAGCACACTCCTGGCATTCATGCCCTGATGTAGTCCCCTCCCACACTGAACCTAGGCTGGCCTCTGACACACACTATCCAACAGAATGCGGTGGAAGTGATACCATGCCAGCTTCAGGTTTAGCCTTTAAGAGGAATGGCAGGCTGGGTGTGGTGGCTCATGGCTGTAATCCCAGCACTTTGGGAGGCTGTGGTAGAAGGAGTGCTCGAGGCCAGGAATTTGAGATCAGCCTGGGCAACATAGTGCGACCCCCATCTCTACAAAAAATTTAAAAATTAGCCAGGTGTAGTGGTACATACCTGTGGTCCTAGCTACTCTGAAGGCTGAGGTGGGAGGATCACTTGAGCCCACGAGTTCAAGGTGGCAACGAGCCATAATCATGCCACTACACTCCAGCCTGGATGACAGAGTGAGACCCTGTCTCTAAAAACCAAAAACAAACAAAAAAGTGAAATGGGAGTTTCTATTAATACTTCTTCTTTCTTTCACTTGGAGAGCCCTGAGTCACCATGAAAGATTTCTGGCCACCCTGCTGAAGAGGCCACATGGGGAGGCCACATGGAGAGGAGGAGAGGTCCACTGATCCAGCATTTTAGTTGAGCTTCCAGCTGACTCCAGCCTCAAGCTTTATCTGAATGCACCTGCATGAGAGACTTCTAAGCAAGACCAGCAGAAGATCCACCCGCTGATCCCAGACAACCCATGGAACCATGAGAGAGCCAATAAAATTGTGGTGGTTTTAAAGCCACTGAGCTTTGGAGTGGTTTGTGATACAATGATAAATAACAAAAGCAATCTCACTGATGGTGAGTCTGGCTGGCATTCCTGAGCCTTGTGCCACCTTCCAGCCCCCAAGAATTGACACTGTTAGGTCAGGTCTTGGTTAATGACCAAGTTAATAATCAAGTTAATAACCATTCCAAGCAGTCAGGCCAGTTTTTAGGACAAATACAGGAAGGGTGTATACTTCCTGTCTGATCCTAGTCCTGAGATTCCAGAAGACACAAAAACCCAGTTCCCGCAGGGCTGGAGACGAAGGCAGAGGGGCTGACTGGCTACCCAGCTCCATCTCTGAGTGCTGACTCCAAGCAGCAGCTCGTTAGGCTCAGGTGTCTTTCAGGTGTCCTTGCATGGCCCTGAGATTGAAGCCTGTGTTATAATAGCGGGTCAACTGAGCATAGCTTTGCCTTGTGGTCAAGTTCAGGTTCCCCTGTGTTTCCCACCATACCAGGTGTGGTCCTGCTGCTGCCCTGACTCCCATCTGCTGGCAGGCTTCAACCCACCCTTCCAATTGTAATCACTTCTTCTCTGCTCTGGGGAGCGTTCCCTTCTGTTTCGCCCAGATCCCCAGGGTCACAGGGCCATTGTCATATGCAGCCTGTAGTCACTGAAATGTTTCCTGTGTGACTCTTGTCCCACTACTGGGCCATGAGCTTCTAGAGAGCAGAGGCTAAAGCCTCATTTTTCCCTCTAATACATTCATTAGTAAATGTATTCCGTCCTTCATTCACTCAACAACCTACTCCATGCCAGGGTCTATGTTAGGGGCAGAGGACATAAAGCTCAAAAATAATGCCCCTGAAGTACAGTCATATTTGGTCCAGTTGGACAGATGTGGAACTTGGCAGTGATGACACAGTGATATAATTGCTGGGATGGAGGTGTGTATGCAATGTGATGAGGGCACAGAGAGTGCCAAGGCAGCCCTGGGAGGGGGCGACAGGCAACATTCCTTAGTGATCATTCTAGGCCAGACTCTGGTCTAAGCACTTCATTTATTCATTATTCATTTATTCATGTTTTCATTATTTTGAGGTACTTTTTAAGAAAATTATTATTTTCTAATAGGTAAATATAGACAAATTATACAAAATTCTGATGGTGTTAATGGGCACCCTATGAGCATTCCCAGAGGAGCATGCCCTTTTCCAAAATTTCTGCCTTCCAGACATATGATATTTTACGCATAATACAAGTTTGCATAATACAAGTTTGTCTTATGCACACACACATACATGCACACACACATTTTACATAAATGGTTATATAATATTCTGTATTTTTTCATTTATTTATTTATTTAATTTTTTATTTTATTTTATTTTTTTGAGACGGAGTCTCGCTCTGTTGCCCAGGCTGGAGTGCAGTGGCATGATCTCAGCTCACTGCAAACTCCACCTCCCGGGTTCACGCCATTCTCCTGCCTCAGCCTCCCAAGTAGCTGGGACTACAGGCGCCCGCCACCACGCCCAGCTAATTTTTTGCATTTTTAGTAGAGACGGGGTTTCACCATGTTAGCCAGGATGGTCTCTATCTCCTGACCTCATGATCCACCCGCCTCAGCCTCCCAAAGTGCTTGGATTACAGGCGTGAGCCACCACACCTGGCCTATTTTTTCATTTAATATATCATGGAGCTCATTCCATGTCACTATAGAGATATTTCATTCTTAGGTCGGGCATGGTGGCTCATGCCTGCAATCCTAGCACTTTGGGAGGCCAAGGCGGGTGAATTGTCTGAGATTAGGGGTTTGAGGCCAGCATGGGTAACACCATGAAACCCTGTCTCTATTAAAATACAAAAAAAAAAAAAATTAGCCGAGCATGGTGGTGCATGCCTATAGTCCCAGCTACTCGGGAGGCTGAGGCACAAGAATTGCTTGAACCTGGGAGGCAGAGGTTGCAGTGAGCTAAGATGCTAAGATCATGCCACTGCACTGCAGCCTGTATGACAGAGAAAGACTCTGTTTCCAAAAAAAAAAAAAAAAACAGACAGAGATTTCATTCTTGGTTAATGATACTATGACTTTATAGTATCACAGTGTTCCATTATAGGAATGTCCTGTACTTTGTTTAACCAATTGCCTATTAATGAATATTTATGCTTTTTCTAACTATCCACTACTAATACAAATAATTCTACAATAAATAATCTTGTGCATAAATTATTTTGAACAAGTGACATATATTTATAGGATAAATGCATATAAGCAGAATTATTAGAATAGAAGTGGGTCTAGAAAAGGTGCATTTAATTTTTTTTATTTTTAAACATTTTTAATTATTTTTTATCTTTGAAGAGATGGGGTTTCACTATGTTGCCCAGGCTGGTTTCAAACTCCTGGCCTCAAATGATCCACACCCCCTCAGCTTCCCAAGGTGCTGCGATTATATGCATGAGCTACTGCGCCTGGCCAAAGGTATATTTTAATTTTTAACTGCCCTCCATCTAACATTTAGTTCTCAAAAACACATGTCTCAGCTTTAGAAAGCTTTCTCTCATCTACCAGCAGTGACCTCTGCCATGGTGTAAAGACCCAGGCCAGCAGAAAAGGAGGAAGACAATACTTCATTTTAAAATGCTTTTATTTTCCTCATCTTTTAAATATAAATATAAATTTAATAAATTAAAATATTTACTATTTATATAAATTTAAATTTATTTAATATGTATGTCATATTGTATATAAAATATATATTACAGATTTACATAGTTTATTCATATTTAAGTTTTAGATAAATTTAAATTTGAATATAAAATTGGACAGGGGAGCATGTGGCCTGGGGCTTTGGACAGAGTGTATCTGAGAATGGAGCTCGCACCAGGGAAATGGGGCTGAAAAATGGAGGGTAGGAAACCTGGCCCAGGTTTCTTCGTTTGAGTCCTGGATAAACCCTTGCCTGAAGTCCATCCTGGGGTTGTTCAGGTTCATAAGCCAATACATACTGTTTTTGCTTAAGCCAGTGTGGGTTGGGTTTTTTGTCTCTTGCCCAGGGAGGAGCCCTGACTGCCCCACACAGCTGGTGGGCAGCAGGGCTGCACTCATTGCAGGGCTGACTAGCTCCAGGGTCCATGCACTGAACCTCAGCCAGTCCCAGCCAGTCCCCGCGGAAAAGGAATTTATTGATGTGAGACCTGAACAATCAGGAGGAGATAACCAGGCAGACCAGAAGGGAGAGAAGATGCCCAGACAGAGAAAGAGACAGGTGAAACGGGTGGCATTCAGAGAGCTACAGGTGGTTCAGAGTGGCTGGAGATTGAGTGAAGGGTGCAGGGTGTGCACACACCAGGTGCTGTGGTTTGCAATCTTGATCTTTCTGATGAAGTGACCAGAGTTTCGCCTCTGCTGTGATCACAGGTGTGATTGAAGAGTCGGTTGGCAGTGTGCCCTGTGCCTCCCCACTCAGGGTTCAGTCCTCTGACTCCCGCCTCCTGTCTCCCTCACCTGTTGGCCCCAAAAGGGAGTCACTGTTGGAGGCCTGACATCAGACATGCCCCCTGGGCCGCACCTCGGGCTCCTGGGACTGCCAAGGGTGAGCAGCCTCTCCCTGGCCCCGCGAGGGAGAAGGCCAATGAGGAGAAAGGCCACGGGCATGCTAGAACCCCTCATGTGTGTGTGTGTGTGTGTGTGTGTGTGTGTGTCGTTGGTGTGAGTGTGCATGAATAGCTGTGCACACATAGGAAGTCAATTGTCCTTTCCCAGTTGAGCCGTTGGGAACATTCCCCAGAATTTACTCTTCCTCCAAAATCATTACCTTATCTCAGGTGGCCCTTTGGAGCCTTTGGCACCATAGCTGGGTGAGGCAGGAAGAAAAAAAACAAGGGCAGGGGAGAAGAGGAATTTGCCCTCTGCTGTGTTTCAGCTCTCAGGCAGGCTATGCCTTCCCGCATTGCCACTAGCTGGGTCCAGGCCATGTCACCTTCTGCTGCACCTACAGCAGCTCCCCAATGTCAGTGTGCCCCAGCCACTTCCCACCAGACCATCTTCCACAGCACGGATCCCCCCAAAATACTGCTCCCCTCTTCCTCCTGTCTCACTTGGACTGCCTTGGCTAGGGCAAATTCTTTGCTGTGACTTGGAAGGCCCTGTGTATCCCCTGCCTATCTGTCCAGCCTCATCTGTCCCCACTCCACCTCTCCCACCCCAGGCCCCAGGCACATTGGCCACAGCCCTTCCCTGAAAGCACCAGGGCCTGAGTATTAATTCCTGTTGTTGCTGCAGCAAACTACCACAGACTTACAGGTTCGAAACAACGCAGATGTATTATATTACAGTTCTGGAGGTCAGGAGTCCAGACATGGGTCTTAAAGGATGAAAGTCAAGGTGCCAGCAGGGCTGCATTCCTTCTGGAGGTTCCAAGAAAGAATCCATTGCCTTGCCTTTCCCAGCTTCAAAAAGCCTCCCGATTCCTTGGTTCATGCCCCCTCCCTGCATCTGCAAAGCCACTGAGTAGCATCTTCCAATCTCTTTCTGACCTCTTCTCCCATCGTCACATCTCTCTCTGACACTGACCTCTCTCTCCGCCTCCCTCTTAGAAGGGCCCTGGTGATTACCCAGGACCTGCGCAGATAATCCAGGATATGCGCTCCATCTCGAGGTCCTTCATCACATCCACAGGCCGATTCTCGGGGTCTAGAGATTAGGGCTTGTACTTCTTCGAGGGTCATTCTCCTGCCTGCCACAGAGCACACCAAGCTTTCGCACATGCAGGCCTCTCTGTCACTGTCTACATTTACCCAGAGGGGACACCTTTGTCTAATTTGCAGAGGTACCATACATAGGTCAGTGGACTGCCTGCCTGAAACACCCCTTTCCTCACTTTCTCCACCTGGCCAAGAGCTTCTCATTCTTCAAGGCCCAGTTTAGTCCAGGACACTTTACCTTTCCCTGCTCTCCCCGAAGTCTCCCAGCTGGGTGAGTCACACCTCCTCTGGGCTCCTGCTCTATCCCGTACTTTCTGTATCCTGGCATAAACCACAGGACATTGATATTGTCTGTGAGTCTGCCTGGGTCAGATCGGAGCCAGGGCCCAGAAGCCCTCACCTGGGGCCCAGCTCTTCCCCAGCTAGGCAGCAGCCCCAGGCCCTGTCGTCTCTCTTCCCAGCACAGACACCTCCTCTGGAGTCTCCCAGTTCATGTCTCTTTGTCTCTCCTGTGTGCAGGCCTCACACGGAGCTGCGGGGCCTCTGTGAGGAAGACAGAAATGAAGGCGATGAGGGTGTTGAGTTTGAGGCATCCAAGCCACACGGAGGGAAGCTGGCATTTGAGAAGAGAGGGCTGGCGTGAAATTCCTACTCTCAGGAAGTGGCTGGGGGACTTTCAGAAGAGGAATATTTGAGGTTTTCAAGTTAAAGTGGCAGCCTAAACACACATCTAATTGCATTTTTCCCCAAATCTCACTAGAACAATAATAGAGAACTTTAAAAGGAAGACATAAAACCACAAAAATGAGGGAAACAGAAGAGGAGAAAACAGGAGCAAAACATGGGAAGCTGGCAGATGAGCATTCTCCGACGCAGATGGAGAAAGCCAGTTCCTAGGCCAGCAGTGGGGAGAGTTTAGAATCAAAACCATTTACAAGCAGGATGCTTAGAAGTCTCAGGAACTGACTCTAGAGGGAACCTCTCTAAGCTGGGTAAAGAAGGAAGTTGAAATAAGGATGGGTTGAAAGTTGTTTAAGAAGCAGTCAGATGCCTGGAAACCCTCCTGTCCCCTCCCCTTCCCCACTGGAAAATTACTGTGAGTGGTTACTGCCCAGAAGGCAGGAAGATTCTGGGTCATATGCCTATGGAGACCCCACCCCGGACTCTGACTCTAAACACCCAAAACACAAGGCAGCCTTCCTCTCAAAGCAGGAGTTAGAACAATCTTCTCTAAATAGTCTGGGCAACTCAAAAGGAAGACTAAATCCTGATATGGGGGGATCTCTGACAAACGACACATCCAGACCACTCCCCCATGAAGTCAAAGGTTGGCAAGCCCCACCCTAGAAGACAGGAAAAGTGAATATGCTGAGAATAAAAGTAAAACACTCTTGGAAATGAAAAACATGGCAGCCACAGTAGAAGGTGTATTATGTCATCCTCACATTGCTATAAAGAAATACCTGAGACTGGGGAATTTATAAGAAAAGAGGTTTAATTGGCTCATGGTTCTGCAGGCTGTACAGGAAGCAGAGCTCCAGGATCTGCTTCCGGGGAGGCCTCAGGAAGCTTCCAATCATGGAGAAAGGTGAAGTGGGAGCAGCCATGTCATATGGCCAGAGCAGGAGCAAGAGCGAGAAGGGGGAGGTGCCACACACTTTTAAACAACAAGGTCTCAGGAGAACTCACTCACTGTCATGAGGACAGCACCAAGAGGATGGTGCTAAACCATTCAGGAGAAATCCACCCCCATAATCTAGTCACCTCCCACCAGGCCCCACCTCCAACATTGGAGATTACAATTCAACATGAGATTTGGGCAGAGACACAGACCCAAACCACATCAGAGGGTATGCAAGATAAAGTTGAAGAAATCTCCTAGAAATCAGGAAGAAAAAAAAAAAAAACAAGAGATGGAAAGTAGGAGAGAAGATTTAAAATATTGGAGGCTTAGCCCAGGAGATCTAATATGGAAATAACAGAAATTACAGAGAAAAAAGAGCCAGGCAAGGGATGAAAACAGGCCCATGCCAAGCATATCTTTGTGAAATTTCAGGCAGCTGGGGACAATGGAATTCCACAAGCTTTCAGATGGGGCAGAAAACAGGTGACATGCAAAAGATGAGGACTCGGAATGATTCTGATAACTCATCAGCAGCGCTGGGACACAAGAAGACAGCAAAGGCAAACCCAAAATGCTGGAGGGACACGCTCTCCAAGCCGACTCCTCTATCCAGCCAAATACTAATTATGTATGAGGCTAAAGACACTTTTAGTCGTGCGATATTGCAAGAAAATTTCCTCCCATGCAACATTTCTCAAGAAGCTACTGGAGAATGTGCTCCTCCAAACTGAGAGTTAACAGAAGGGAAGACACAGGACATAGGAAACGGCACAGCCAGCATGGAGAGGAGGCAAGGAGCAGTCCGTAGGAGGGTAGTGCAGGAGGACAGCACTGCACAAGACAGGGAGGGCAGCTGGTCCCCGAGGGGGTGGCACAATGCCAGCAAGAGGTACATCGAGGGCTGTCGCAGCGTCACTGCCACCGGACAGTCTTTCCAACCTGAGGACAGGAGGCTCCGGTGAGCCTGGCCCCAGTTTTGATTTGCCCTTGCCTTGTCTTGACCATGTGCTGTGCAGTCTGTGCCCACCCCTCCTTGCCTGCTGCCACCCCCACCTCAGTGTGATCTGCCCTGCTCCTGAGAACTGGATGTGGGCCATAGTGAGCTTAGAAGGAAAAAACACCAAACAGCTCCCTCCTCTTGCCAGGTGTCCGGTATCTGGCTCACATCACAGCCCTGCCCGATGCCTTAGTTATAGGGAGCCTGTGTTTCCCTAGGCTCACTCATGGTCTTGTCCAGTGATGTCCCCAGAAAGGACTTTTGTAAACTGTTAGAAAAAAAATTAGCCAGACGTGGTGGCACACACCTATAATCCTAGCTACTCAGGAGGCTAAGGTGTGAGGATCGCTTGAACCCGGGAGGTAGAGGGTGCAGTGAGCCAAGATCGCAACACTGCACTCCAGCCTGGGTGACAGAGTGACACTCCATTGAAAAAAAAAAAAAAGACTTCTTAGATATTAGTAATACCATATTTAATGGGCACACGGTGTTCCTTTTTGGAAGATTCATTCAGTTGTATCTGTTTTATACACTCTTCTGAATGTATGAAACATGTCACTGTAAAGACTGTTTACAGTGGGGCACATGGGAGGGTCCTGGAGCGCTGGCAATAGCCTATTTCTTCAGTTGGGTGACTGTTATATAGGTCTTTACTTTATAACGATTTGCTAAAGTGTACATTTATGTTTCATGCACTTTTCTGTGTGTGATATATCCTACAATAAAATCTTAAAAGAAAAAAGAGATGGTCTGCTGTGCTGTTTTGTGGTATCACTCACCCCACTTTCTGGCTCCCAGATTTCAACACTCAGCCTTTCATTGGTGTCCTTTAGGGAATAAAGGACCTCGGGTGTGTCTGGTGGAGGGCGACACTGTACAGAGAGCAAGAAGAGAACAAGCAGAAGCACAGCAAAGAAGAGAGAAGAGACCTGAATAAAACTCACTGTCCCCTAGACCCCCTGAAGACATGGGAAGGGAAAACATCTTGGGATCTTCACCTCATGTGTGATAGGGACCCAAGCCAATTCATGCAAATATTACAGAAAAGTGTAATCCCATAACATTGCAGAATTTAAAGCCACCCTAACGACTCAGATGTGGGTTATGCCCAAAGCAAGCAGGATGCTGGGTGTGGGCACGTTTATAAGTGCCCAGCTGGCTTAAAGGGTTAAGAACTGCCACTCTTTGCTAGGATTGCTTTTCCCATCCTTTCTGCCTGGTGAGTTTTTCTAAGAGTGGTAGGGCTTCACTCCAGCTAGTTTTCACAGAAAAGCAAGTTATTGAAAGGCATTTTGAAGCTCATGGGATCTCCAGGAGACCAAAGAGTCAGACTTGGATGCCACGGAGCTAAGAATAATACCTAAGACTCACAGCAGAGGCTGCCCCCCGACCCCAGAAAGCTCTGCTCCAGTGTGACCCCAGAACTCTGCCACCGTTGCCCTGAAGGGCCAGAGACCTCCGCCACCCCATTCTCTATAGAGGACCCCCTACGAGTCTCACGTAGGGACATTGGTCATAATGACTGCCCCCTGAGGAGGGTGGGGAGTGAGTTCTGGCTTCTACCTTGATTGGGACAGACTCAAAATATGGAAAATTCTCCAGTTTGGGAATTGCGTGCAAAAGATGCAGGGGGGGCCAGATATTTGCTGTGGGGAGGATCGAGTGGAAGCAACTGGGTGGAGTTTATTCTCAAGCCTGAGGCAGCTGCCAGAAAAACAGGACTGAAGGGCACCAGGCTGCGTGAGGACCCCGGTGCCAGGCTGGGTTTAGGGTGCAGTGGATGGGGCTGAGCCCCTCTCCCATCCATAAGTCCTGCCTGGATGCCAGCTCCCACCCTGGGGCCATGGCTCCAAGACCACCTTGAATAATCCATGTGCCTGCAGCCCTACCTACCCTGCATTAAATCATCCACTCCTCATCACCAGGAACCAGGACCAGGTGAGCCTCGGATCTTCATAGCCCGTCTCACCTGCTGCACTTCTCTTCACTACCTGAGTCCTTAGGGCCTAGAAAGCCTCACGCAAATCCTAACCAAGCGACCACAGGTGGAGGACAGTGACATCTGGAGCATCTGATGGAGGCTCTGGGGCAGTTCAGAAGAAAGGCCTTTTTTTTTTTTTTTTTTTTTTTTGAGACAGGGTCACTCGATCTCGGCTCACTGCAACCTCTGCCTCCGAGGTTCAAGTGATTCTCATGCTTCAGCTCCCCCAAGTAGGTGGGATTACAGGTGCGTGCCACCATGACTGGCTAATTTTTGTATTTTTTGGTAGAGACAGGGTTTCACCATGTTGGCCAGGCTGGTTTCGAACTCCTGACCTCAAGTGTTTCTCCCACCTCAGCCTCCCCAAGTGCTGGGATTACAGACGAGAGCCACCGCGCCTGGCCTGAGAAAGGCTTTTTCTATGCCACAGAGAAGTTGGGCTCCCAGTCACGGGAGCAGCTGCGGCCGGTTCCAGCAGGGGGCAGCTCTCAATGACAGCTGAAGGGCATTGCATAGCCAGATGCGCACATGGCTTTTAGGAACTGGGCTCTGCCTCCCCTGAAGTCTGTCTGAACCTGGGGCATCACCGTCTCACCGGGCTGGGGCTTTGATGCATCAGGCCCAGAGAAAGAAACTTGGTAGAGGAGAGGAGGAAGGAGATGCAACCTTCCAGGAAGCAGAAATGTTCAAGGACTCTCAAAGGAAACTCCAGAAAACAAGGAGAGGCAGGAATTGCCTTATGATCGCTTCTAGCTCTATGTCTCACCTTTGAAATAAAGCATCTTCCTGGTCCCAGTGCAGAGACAGGTCCTGGGGGGAAGCAGGAGAGGAGAGAATCAGCTCCTGTTCTCCTGTCTGCCTCAACTTCCCCAGGCCTACCCAGCCCACCTGGGCTAGGACGGAGGTGCTGGCAGCCTCTCCCCATTAACCACACCCTGCAGGCTGAGGCGGGCAGGCTGAGGCGGGCAGGCTGGGGGCTGAGGAGACGCTCCTTCCCTGCATTCCATGGACATGGTGCCTTGGGCCAGGCTGCAGAGGCCGCAGGGCCTGGCATGTGCCCCGTGAAACTGGCCCTGCAGTGAGGCGGGGGCAGTGGGGATGGATGAACTCATTCTTTCCTCGTCTGAGGCTGCTCTGATCGTAAAACCGTGGACGCTGAGCAAATGGCCCCAGGTGTGTGCTCTCTCAGTTTCGCTGGGATAATAGTCAGGAACAGCAAGAGGGTGACCTGGTTTCGATGGAGCAGCTCCTGCTCTGGGCACTACGTGGCTCTGCTGCCTCTGCTCTCCTGTCCTCTCCCCACCCCGTTTTGGAGGGCCAGGCCTTCACCAAAGCCTGAAGGAACCTCAGCAAGAGTGCAAAGGGGGTGCTGTCAGAGGTGCCCCAGGAAAAGACCCTTCTCCAGAGAGAGGCTCTGCGGAGAGGCCCGGGGTGCCTAGAGAGGGGAAAGCACCCTGCACCTACCTCGAGGGGCCTCCTGCTCACAGCCCCCTTGAGTCACTGTTTACTCCACAAAGATCTAAACTCAGATCAGGCAGGACCCTTCGAGTCTGTCTCATCACTAAAACTGCTTCATTTTACAGATGGGGAAACTGAGACCCAAAATGAAGGGCGCAGTCGCCGAGTCAGCCAGTGACAGAGCTGGGGCTTCACTCCCGCTTCTCGATTCTCAGCTCCCATCCTCGTCCCTCTGCCTTTTATGGAGCAGCATGGAAGGAATCAAAAACAGGCAGAGAACTTCAGGGGCCACTCTGGGCTGCTGTGAGTGAAGACTAGAGTTTGTGGGTGCAGTGCCTCCGGCTGCAGCTCTCCAGGCCCACACAGACCTGCTCCTGACACTCCTGGGGGTGCGCTGCCTGGGGGTCTTCCCTCCCCAGCCCTTCCCCAAGGTACAGTGAGTGCCTCAGGTCCTCCAGCTGCCCCTCTCCCAGTGGGAACTCACACTAGACATGCGAGGGCAGTCAAGGAGAGCGCTTTCCTCGCTCGAGGATATGGGAGAGCTTTCCACCCTCCTCCTCAGGCCCCGGAGGCAGCGAGTGTGCCTGTCAGGGTTATCAGGGTGCTCTGGGAAGGGCTCCACCTCCCCCGCAGGCTTCGCCAGAATGCCCAACTGGGCTGCTCTCACTGCCTTTGACCTTCAGAACTCCCAAAATACTCCCACCTCCTCCAGGAAGAAGGCGGGGTAGTGGGGGCTTTGGAGACCAATAAGCCAGGGCCTGACTCCTAACTGGCCACCTAATAGCTTTGTGACCTTGAGCAAGTGCCCTGGTCTTCCTGAGGGCGTGTTCTCAAGCTTCTCCGTTGTGTGGTTTTAGTGAGGGCTGGAGATGGCGACACGTAGTAGACTCTCAATTCATGGTGGCTCTTATTATTAAAGCTGGCCAGGATGTCCCTTCTGACCCCCAACCCTCCAGTTCCCATAGTGCTGGGCCTTGTAACTGTCACTGTCCTGTGTATGGGGTCAGGCTCTGGCCTCCCTCCCTCGCAACCCCTTCGGGGCAGGGTGAGAGTAAACAGGTCCCCTAGGTGTGGGACAGACGCCCGCTGCCCTCCTCCTGCCTTATTCATTCTCTCCAAAAACATTAATCACTGGTGGATGGACAAACTGTAGGGCACCCGTATGATGGAATGACCCCAGCAATAAGGAAGAACAAAATAGTAATACAATGAATGACATGGATGACTCTCAAGGCACTGCGCTGAAGTTCAGCAGTTAAATGAAAGCCGCCTAACTCAAAAGGCTGCAGACTCCGCCGCTCCCTGCGTCTGAACTCCAGGGAGGGCCACGCTGCAGCCAGAAAGCAGGTCAGGGCTTGCCTGAGGTGGGATGTGGGAGCGGGGATTGATTGCAATGGGGAATGAGGGAATTTTATGGGGGGATAAAAAAAATCAATGTTTCATTTGATGGTAGGTAGGTGGCTATTTCCATTTGGCAGAGCTTATCAAACTGTATGCGTAAAACAAGCAAATTCTACAGTATGCAAACTACACCATAACGAAGCTGGCAGAGTAAAGACCTTCCAGTTTGGAAACTATGATCTGGGAAGTGACCCATATTGCCTGGCCAGATACACGAGGGAAGAGTCATCTCCCTAGGAAACGCTTAAGAAAGGCTCAGTCCTTAAAAGAAATAAGAAACTGAGTGACCAGAAAAAATGAGGGAGAATTTGAAGAAATACAGTACCAGGGCATCATAGAAGAGCTGGCTTTAAATAGACTACAGATAGTGCACTCAAGTCTTAGTGCATTTGTACGCTGCCTGAATTACCTGACCTTGGTCCCTTATCTGATATCCTCATCCCCCCGGGCTCTACCTGAAAAAAAAGCTCACACGCATCTTTCATAAATAATAAGAAGCTATCCTTTAATGAGATGATATTTTATCTCTCCTGGCCCAGGACGGGGAAGGCGCCCGGCCCCTCTTGAGTCACCAGGCTCTTATGCAGTGGAGTTTCTCTCCTCTGCTTGCTTCCAGAGCCTTCTGCAGGCTACCAAGACAAAGCTTTCTCCCATTCCTCTGGGCCCGGTCCTTCTGCTCTCTGCTGCTGCCCTCTCTGTCCCCATTCCTCCTCTGCCTCTGGAATGATAGCATCTCCCAGTGGCTTTCATGTTGGAGTGCTGGCTCCTTAACTTAAGGTCAGCTTCTGAGGGCAGAAGGCTTGTCCCATTTTCTCTCCTTCCCTCTGCCCTCTCCTTTGGAATAAACGCACACATTCACCAATGCAGCCATTGACTGTGTGGCTCGCCCACACTGTTCAGGAGAGAGGCCCAGCTCCATCTAGCTTGAGCCCAAAGGAAATTTATTGGGCCACATTCCTGAGAAGTCCAGGACGTGTCAGCTAGGTTGAGACACAGCTGGATTCAGGATTGACAATCTCTTTTCCTGTCTCACTCTCTGTCTGCCTCTGTCTCAATGTCTTCTTCCCTTCCTCTCCTCCCTTCCCCTTCTTCTCCCTAATATCTTTCTCTCTCTAAGTAAGTATCCCCTGAGTATACTTCCTCACTCCTCCTTAAGCCCGAAAACAAAAGAACAAGACACAATAAATCCCTCATGTAAATGGTCATCCCTGACCTGGGGAAGTCCAAGATATCAAAAGCACAGCCTATTATTTTATCTATTCTTTCTAGTTGTGTATATAGCTGACTTTTCTGCTAGACTTTCCTTGTGTCCTCAAGGTGCCTGGCACAGGCCCAGGTACATGGCAGCCCCCAGCCCCACCCCAGATAGGATGTGACACTTGGTTGGGGTGAGGTCAGAGTGGGAAAGGGAAGAATCAGGGTCGGGGATGGGTCAAGGCTGGGGAGCGGCTGAGGGGAGGATCCTTTTGAGCTGTTCATTCCCTCCTGGTATTTTTGCCCATGAGGCCCTGCAGAGTAGGAACAAACTCCGCACATGCCTGTCTTCCTCCCAGAGCCCTCCACCCCCAATAAGCATCAGCCTGGGGGGCTGGGGCTGCGGGCTGAGGCCTGGGACAGAGTCCTGGTCAGCATCAGCCTAGCTGATGCCAATTAAGACCCAGGAATCCCCTGCCCCTACCCCTGGGCTCAGATCAAAAGACCTTGGCCCTCAGATGAGGGGCTCCTGACCATAAATCTGAAGGAGCACGGCCCTCCAGCTAATGAGCTGTCCTGGCTCAGACTAGAGCAGGGATGCCAGATCCTGTTTCATTCCAGGGTGCAGCCAGCCCAGAGTGAAGGGCCGCGGGAGGCCCTAGACCCCAGAGTGCCCATCCCCCCACAGCACCCGGCTTTGCAGGGACAGGCCCCGCTCTGCTCATAATCCCTGGGGCAATGTCCTGGAGGGTACATGAGAATGCACACTGTTCCCTGGGCTCCTGCCCTGCCGGGCCCCAAGATGGCTCCCTGTGCCCACCGTTTAGCCCCACAGGAATTTTAACCGCTAACATCTGGGTTCAGGAGACTCCGGAAGAGCAAACGTCTTCACCTCCTTTGATTCCCTTCACACAGAGGGCTTTTTCAATTTTAATTTGAGGTGACCTCTGACCTGAGTTCCCATTCTCATAGATTCCAGATATTTCCTGTGCCCTCAAATAACCTCCAAGCCTGCCCCCACCTGATCAGAGCCCCTGCGGAGGGGGCATGGCCTTCACCCACCCATGGCCCAGGCTAGGCTGGGAGTCCCCCTGGACTCCGGCCCCCTCCCCATATCCCACTCTGTTCCCCCAAAGATGCCTGCACAGCCACCCACCCACCAGTATCTCTCCAGGGCTCTCAGCTCCAGTATCTCAGCTGGGCCCAGCTGAGCCTGCTCTCAGGACACGAGGGATGGCAGACACCCCGGTGCCAACCTCTCTGGCTGTCATGTTTTTTAATGACAACAATCATAGAAACATCGGTGGAGCCTCTTCTCTGTGTCAGGTGACCCAGTAGCTCAAGAATAATTGCTCCTAATTTACAGATGAGGAAGCCGGCCCTGGAGAAGAAGAGGGACTTCGTGTACACACAGCTAGCTGTGGCCAAGCCAGACCATAACTGAGGTGTGTCAGCCCGGAGCCCGGTGCCCTCCAGGAAGAGGGGTCAGCAAAGGGATGCTGGCATTGGTGCATCTCCCCTGCTTTGTGAGTCCTGGTTTGGGCTGCCCATCTCAGCGTTGTGACCATCAGCACAAAGCACCAAGGGTCTTGGCAAAAGGCAGAGATGACAGAGAAGTGAGAAGCAGGCATGGGGGTGGGAAGGGCTGGTCAGACCTCAGCTCCGCCCCTGTCTCTTTCCAAAGTAGCTTTTGGATTGAGGTGGATAGTTCCCTCAGTTCCCATGAGGAGTCCAGCACGGTGCTAAGCTGGGCTGTGCAGGGGGCTACAAGAGCAGGCAAGTCCCAGTCCCTGTCTCAGAGGGGCTGAGAGACAAGCAGAGGTACAGGGACATGAGCAAGGCAGCCCCAGGACCAAAGTCAGGCCGAGGGGGTCAGGCTGGGTAGGCTGCTTGCAGGTAGGGAATTTGCTGCAGGTCTGGGTTACAGAGAGGCCCAAGTCCCATGCCCACATGGTGCTAGGTCAGGGCCCTGGCAGCCATCCCTCTAGGATGGCCACTCCCAACAAGGGCCTATGGCTCTCCAGAGCCCAGAACCTGAACACATCCAGGCCAGAGCCACGGGATGATGCACTGGCCCCTGCCCCATGGGTAAGAGGCTGAATGGCACATTAGGCAACCTCTCTGGCTCCAAACCCCAGCTGGCTGCCAGCCTCAGCCTCCTAGTCGATGGTTTGACCACATGACTCCCCATTAAAGCCTTTCCCTGGCTCTCCATCCTGCCCCTCGTCATGCCCGGTGACTCACGCTGCTTTTCCAGGCCCAGCTCACCACGGCTGACATCACCTTCAGCTCCACCCCTTTCCCAGCAAACCCTGATGAGCCCTCTCTTTCCTCTGACCCATTGTCCTCCTCGGAATCAAGAATGCTAGAGCCAAAAGCTATCTCAGGGAACATCTGGAGCAGCCTCACTTACAGCTGGGGAAACTGAGACCTGAGAGATGCCCCGCTGGCGTTTGTTCTAGTTCAGAGGCTGTGATTCATTTAGAACTTTAATGAAAGGATTTAGGGCTCAGTTAGGATCTTAGGGCAAATCATCGCTGCTCTGCCAGTAACTAAGCCCTTACCCTTACGCCTGCCCAGCAGGGTCCTGGAAATCAATCTCCAGATTCCGCCGGGTCCAGGGCTGCCCCATAGGTGCTGAGGCACTGGAGACAACAGGAGGTCTGGGATGGCCCCCAGCCCCTCCCTCTACCCAAATCGGGGCATGGCTAATTCTTTCTCTAAGAGATCCATTGCTTTAAAGTCCAGAGTAGAAGGGAAGAAACAGGTGTCAATTTCTGCCAGGAAAATGAGATCGAGCTGCAACCTCAGAGAAGCCTGGAGGGGTACTGTTAACGGGAACCCTCTGAGGCTCTGGGGCTGAAAAGAAAATCAAGGAGGAACAAGCAATCAAGGTTTTCATGGAAGCCTTGGGCTTCAGAAATAAGGCATCCCTGGAACGTGGTTTCTAAAGCATCACCTGAGAACTTGGGAGAAATAAAAAATGCAAATCCTCAGGCCCCACCTGAGACCTACCAAATCACACACTTTGTTTTGGGATCCCTCAAGCCCTCCAGATGATTCTGATGCATGCTCAAATTTGAACACCACTGCCATAAAGGACAACCAAAGCAGTAAGCAGGTCTCATAGCTGGTCAGCCCTGTTGGTCCTGGCCTGTGGTGGGTTCGCTGAGGCTCCACAGCCCGCTCTGCTTACCCATGTTATGGACCCCTCCCAGCCAAAACAGGCAGGATTTCTGCAGGCAGCTTATTCCAGAAGGGCTTGGAATGAGCCTTGTGGCCCAAGATGTGCTCTGGGAACATGGAGAGCCTCAAAGTCACCCACCCCTTCCATTTGCCTCTGCCCATACAAAAGGAATTCTGCCTCAGTTTCCCTGCTTTTCATTCCAACCCACCACTGGCCTTAGAACTCTGCCCTGGACCTCAGCCTGCTTCCCTGGGCACTGTTACCATGCCATGCATGGTGGCTGGCCTCCTCACCGAGGTCTCATCCTGCTCCTGTACCCCAGCTGCTGACTGAGGTGATTTGCAGACTGACAACACATTTATTACTGTGCTGTGGCTGCCCTGGGCCCCCAGGTACATGTGTGTGGATTGTCTACTGAACAAGGGCAGATGGCCAAGGAAGCAAGTGGAGGAATGAAATCCAGCTCACTTTCCACTCACCCACATCCCCTAGGGCGAGGTGGCACTAATTTGCAGGTATGCATTAGAGGGTCTAGTGCTTGAATGTCACACTCCCTTTCCCGAAGCTCCTGTTTCTGAGGTGACCCTCCCCTCCCCCTGCCTTCCCATTTCTACACCAGCCAGACCTCCCTATCTCTTCATGTCTACACCAACTGGACACCCACCCTTTCAAACGGGCCATGCCCTCCTTATCTTCTCTCTTAGGGGTCTCTTGGCTGGCTCAGTTGTCCCACCATTTCTCTCCTTATTCCTCATCCTCACAGACTTTCCCGTCATGTTGATGATGACATAATAACCAGCAGACAAAACATCTTTGTTGATAGAAGTTTGAGGTCATTTCATTACAGCATCTCCTAAGACATTCCATTCAGGGACGTGCCTGCCAGGCTGCTGGAAATGCCTGCCTTTTATGGCCTGCTTGGTTTGGTCACTTGTAACTTCTGCACATGATAGGCCCTGGGCTCCCTCTACCCTAGGGCAACCCCATAGAGACCTGAAAATCCTGTTCACGACTTGCCCCACCCGAATCTTGTCTTCCCAGCCCCTTGAATGAGTCCATGTGTGGCTTGGGCTCTCTCATCACCGCAGGTTAAACTGCCATGTAATTGATTTTTTTTCCAGGCAATTGAACACATATCAGTAGGCACCTAACTTTTCTCTTTTAACCACTTGGATTAAGAAAAATCTTTCCAAAACATAATATATTCTTCTCTACCTCTTGGAATAAATGAAAGCAGACATAATGTGCTTTTTCTTGGGGCCTCTACATAATAATAGTTTTTTTGAGCTACTGTAAAGTGTTTTTAATAACTCAAATCACTTCATAATCACCATGGGGAGAAAACAGAAAATACAGATATATAGAAAGGAAAAAGAAGGGCATCCCTTGATATCTTACCAGCTGGAGGCAATGACTAATAACTTTTTGTTGTATAACTTTCTGGGCTTTTTCCTAAGCAAGCACAGTTCCCCAGTTTGGGGTGCAAATGTAATCCCTCTTATTTATTCAATAATTGCTTGAGCTCCCATACGCCCATATTAACAGGAAGTCATGCCTCTTTACCCCTTCTTACCCCTTATTCCTCACCCACTCCCCCAAGGAAATTGGGGCCAAACTTGGTCCTACAGGTAATTCTGATTGCAAATGGCAATCAGAGAGAAACTGGAGAGTCAGGAGGTCCTGATTTCCATTGTTTCTTGCACAGTACCATGTGTCTCTAAAGAAAATGGTCTTGCAAAGTCTGATGAGATCCTGCCTCACTGGTCCTGACCCTTATGTGGTCCACAGAGGTGTGCCAACTTTGGGCTCCAAGGCCACTGCTCTTGTAAGCTCATACTTCCAAGGTTAGCCAGGCTCCCAAATAGCGCACAGCCCTGGTAGAGCTGAGCCCAGGAGGGCTTCTGTCCTCAGCCACACTCCATGCCACAGGAATATGGAGGCCCTGGGGTTGAGCCTGGTCACCAACTCTGACCCCCTTTCTTCCTGGTGCCATTCCCTTGAGGGGCTGTGGGGATTCTATTCCTGGGGCACTTCATCTCAAACTTCATCAGGAAAATTCCAACTTTAACACGGCAAACGTCTTTGTCTTCATCTCTTTCTTCCCAGATGTTCCTTGGCCCCAAGCAAATTATCTCCCTGCTCTTCCATGTAGGGACTAGAGGGTCCTGCACTCCTCAGGCCACCCAGGAACCAGTTCCCCCTTGCCCCACTAGCCTAACATGTGAATAGCCAAGAGGGACCACTCAAAGGACAGTTTCCTGAACAAAGAAGACCTGTTCTTAACCAGCTGGATAAAGAAGGAGCTGATGGCAACTTTTATTAAAAAGAAAGAAAAGTTCCGAACCAGGAAACTTGCCATACACCCATTCGCCAGATGACAACATTGAGATTACTCACTTCTTGAAAGAGCCCAGCCTCTAGCACTGGACATTTATCACAAAGCATTTCCTTCTTGCGTTGGGCATTCCTCTCTTGCTAGGAGGAACTGAGACTTCCCGTCCCCAGTCCCAGCCCTGAGGCCATGCAGCCTAGGGGTGGCTGGATTGAGCACTGCTTACTGGATTCAGGCCAGAGACTGCCACATTTTGTCCTCTGCTGCCTGGGTTAGGGAGACCTCTCCCTGTCAACTCAGGGGCATGGCAGGAGCGGGGCTGGAACAGTCTCTGCAGTCAGTTCCCTCCTGGACCACCGACGCTGGGAATGCAAGGGGTGGGTAGTTTGGTCTGTGCTTATGTGTTGATATTGTGAGATCATTTGAGAGAATTAAATATATTTTCCCAGATGGAAAGAAAAGGAAAAGGAAGGGGATGTTGAGTGTGGGAGCTGTTCATTCTTTCCAGCTTCTCTCCTTTCCCGCCATCCCACCCCACCTGTGGACCTGTGTTTGGCATTAGGGCACTCCTCTGTGCTTTGCTGGATTCTGATAGGGAGCACAGCCTGGTGTGGGGGGTGGGAGGACGGATGGTCTGCATCTTCCCTTCCCCTGCTCCAGTCCTTAGGCCAGTGCTTTCTGCACTGGGGGGTCAGGGGACATTGAAGGTGCCAGTCCAAATGCCAGTCAACACTGTGGGCAGGCCTGGCCAACACTGTCTGTGGATGCCAGACTCTGGGAAGAGAAGCACCCACGCTCAGAGATGGCCCACTCTCACTGGGCTCACAGCCAAACACACCCAGTTTTCTGGCCTCGGGCTGGGTGGGACAAGTGTATATCTCACCTGACAAGCCCTGTGAGCCTGACAAATGGAGGGAAAAAGCCACGACAGCAGCACCTCCCAGTGATCCGGAAGCTGGAGGAGGAGCAAGAGGACACAGGGTCTCTCCAAAAGGCAGAAGTGCGGGGGAGTGGCCTGGACATTGTAGAGCTGGGACAGCCAAGTCCCAGGGCAAGGGCACCAGGGGACATGGAGGAGTCCTTCCCTTGGGCCTCTCCAGAGAGGCTGCCTGGAGTTTTCACAGTTCACAAATGAGCAGAGGAAATTGTCCATGCGAACAGCCCTTAGGGGATCTCCCAGAGAGGTGTCTCGGGTGCTAGGGGAAGCCCAAACACCCCACTTCAGTTTTCACGTAGGAGGAGGAGAAGGCAATGACTTGTCTTGAAGCAGCCGCTGCCCAGCAAGCACACGATTTTTATTTAAATTGAAGGTTTATTTGGAGTGGGCTTGGGGGAGTACTTCTCATGCACACACTTTTTCTGTCTCCTCATTTCCCCAGCCCAATCCTCCCCACATTCCTCTGCCTTCCCGCCTCCCATTTTATTAGGTGTCAGTTGTCTGCTCCAAACCTTCAGTAGCTCCCATTTGTGATAAGGTGAAGTCCAAATCCCATAGCCTGCATTCAAGTTCTTCCACGGTTAGGGTGGACATACACCCCACTTTGTTTTGGATGATCTAGTTTATATCTGCTGTCTTGGCATAATAATTCATAGCACCCTGCTTCATGCAAAAATGTATCCCAGTTTGGAGAATAAATGATGTGGTCCACCCGTGTACAGTCCACTCCCAACCTCATGCTCCAGGCTAATGGCCAACTGTCTCTCTTGAATCCTCTGAGTCAGTGGTTTTGAACTCTGGTTGCTCATTAGAATCACCTGGGGAGCTTTTAATAAATATCACTACTTAGACTCACCCCCAAAACAGGTCAAATAAAACAGAATCTCTAGGGGCAGGACCCAGCCTTTGGTATTTTTTTAAGCATCCAGATGACTCTGATGTGCAGCCAGGGTGGAGAACAACTGACCTCAGTAAAACAGGTGTCCTGGAACTCTGTCCCTGAGCCCATCTTACACATTTCTGTCCCTAGTTTTTGGTAACTTGCTCCCATTGTCTATCCGCCATTTAACTCTTTCTTTTCCTCTGTGTGTGGTCTTTCATTCATTCTTTAAGTCCTACCCAAGCTGCTAAGCCTAGCTCCAATGCTGCCTCCTCCTACATCTTTCCTGACCTCTTAGCCAGAAAGGGTCTTCCTCTCTACCCACTACTGCCCCCTCCCTCCCCCACTATTGAATGTCATCTATGATCCACGCCCTGTTTTGCCTTCTTCACAGTCTATGAGCTCCATGGCATGGGTCATGTCTGATTAATCTCTGGAGACCCCAGGGCCCAGACCCAACTTACAGTAAAGCCTCTCACACCTGAGTGAGTGACTATCACTGCTGGTCCTGAACTTGGGCAGCGTCATCCACCCCGACACGGGGCACCAGCACATGCTGCCTCTACAAGTTAAGTTTCTTTTCCTGTGTGCGGGCTTTCATTCATTCATTCACTCACTCATTCTGCTTTGTGCCAGGCGCTGTGTTCTCCATCACCTCTTCTTGATTTCCTGTACTATTGGAGAACTGTCCTTTCTCTCTCATGTCCATCCCCTGGACAGCCCTGCAGACTGTCTTGCATATAAACGGTACTCAGTATTGATTGATAATCAACTGACGAATAGATAAACAAAAGTGGTGTGTCCTTACAATGAAATATTATTCAGCCATGAAAAGGAAATGAAGTACTGATACATGCTACAATATGAATAACCCTAAAAACATTATTCTAAGTGAAAGAAGCCAGGAACAAAAGACCACATAAACTGTATGCTATCATTTACATGCAAAGTACAGAATAGACAAATCCATAGAGACAAAAAGTAGATTAGTGGTTGCCAAGGGCTAGAAGAAGGGGGAAATTAAGATTAACTTTTGTTTTGTTTTGAGACAGAGTCTTGCTCTGTCGCCCAGGCTGGAGTGCAGTGGCCTGATCTTGGATCACTGCAACCTCCGCCTCCCAGGTTCAAGCAATTCTCCTGCCTCAGCCCCCTGAGTAGCTGGGATTACAGGTGTGTGCCACCATGCCTGGCTAATTTTTTTTTTTTTTTTGTATTTTTAGTAAAGACAGGGTTTCGCCATGTTGGTCAGGCTGGTCTCAAACTCCTGACCTCAAGTGATCCGCCCACCTCAGCCTCCCAAATTGTTGGGATTATAGGCGTGAGCCACAGCTCCTGGCCAGGACTAGCTGTTAATAGACACAGGTTTTCTTTTGGGGAGGATAGAAATGTTCTGGAATTGGGTAGTAGTGATGGTGGCACAACCTTGTGACTATACTAAAAACCACTGATTGTGCACTTAAGTGGCGAATTTGATGGCATTTGAATTATATCGTAATTAAAAAGAAATATGGATTGATGGATTTTTCTTTCTATACTCATATGTTCTCAAACCTTAAACTTTTATTCTTATTCACAGGAATCAACTGATATTACTGCTAAAAACATTGGTTTCTGGGCTTCACCTTGGAGCTTCAGATACAGCAGATTGGGGCAGCGCCCAGGAATCTGCATTTGATTGTTGTATTCTAAGTGCCATTTCCCTGTTCCCCAAAGGCTTGGGTCAGAGGATTTCTGAGCCAACCTCAGAACCTCAGAAGACAAATAAAATTCTTTAACCTATTATTTCAGAAAAAAAAAGCTGAAGATTTCAAACACAACCAAAACTTTGTTTTTAGTCTGCTTCTTATTAAAAACAGACTGGGACCCAAAGAAACCCCATCGGGGTAGGTAATGAAGTAATCATGATCATACTAAAAGAACAGAATGGAAAAACTGCCTGGCCTGGAGCAAACCACAGAAAAAATTGTCTTCTGCCTCCAGTGCTCAACTGAGCCATTCAGATGAAAATATCCCACTAGCCACATCGACAGCTTAATCTGGGGCAGGGGAGCTAGACATTAGTAAACCGCCACTCACTGCCCCCTATACAAATACATACTTACAGACACCCACTCCTACACACTCAAAATTCGAAGCTCTGGTATGTGCTCCATGATTAGGGCTTTCTTTGGGGTTACAAGGAAGCAGAGTTGTAAATCGGTATTAGAATGTGATCAAAAGGAATGTCTGTATGCAATTATTTTGTTTTGAGACCAGTGTTCAGAGGCACCGACTTTAAAGTGCTGGCTTGGTCACGTGGTGGCCTCTCACACACATAGGCGCATATGATTTTGGTCCCCACAAAAGAAGGAAGACAAAGGCCCGGGTTTTCTCTTTGTTGCTTCTTTGTTTCAGGACGGAGTCTCACCCCAACAGCTCAAAGCACCCTCTCCCCCATCTCCCCTGGCTGTCCATTCCCTAACTGTTACAAGAGGAAGTCTTGCTAATATAACCTCTTGCCCCGGAAAGTAGCAGTTACTGTAATTTGAGAACAGAGATCCCTTGCTTAACAGAAATTCACTTAACAAAACTTCAAATTAAACAAGAGGTCAGTGAAAGGAAATAACATTTGTGAGGCATGTCTACTGAGTTCTGGGCAGTGTGCTGGGCAATTTCACACAGATTTTTGCATTTCATTCAATGAGTCATCACAACCACCCCAAAGTGGAGGTATTATTATCCCCCGTATTATACCAAAGAATCTGAGGCTCAGAGTGGTTATGTAACTTGCACACGGTCACAAGGTTAGGAAGTAGCAAACCAAGTAAAAGATCTCCTCAAAGCAACATCACAGAGAAAAAAATGTTGAGGAATTCGGGTGTCCTATGAGTCCATCTTGCGGTGGCTGGCTTGCCCAGGCTGCTGCCATCTGTTACACATGCGCATGAGAAAGCAAAACTCAGTCCATCAGATAACGTCTGAGAGCAGTCAGTGCTTTGTGAAGCCCAGCAAGCCACCGTTCACCAGTGGGCATAAAACCAAAGCTTTATGTTTCGGAACAGAACTGTTAATACAGACGCATTCTAGTGATTGCATTATCGGCACCCTAAGTCACAAGGCTCTGGTCTGGGTCCCTGTTTACCCAGCTTCATTTGTAGTTGCCTTTCCCTTCCTCTCTGGGCTCCAGCCAAATAGCACCTGGCTGTCCCTCGGGGCCACCATGTTCCTTCCTGTCTCAGACCCTTGGCTATTGCTCTCCCTCTAATTGTCCTTCCCAAGGCATCTCTTCCCAGCACCACTCAGTAACTTTCATTAGAAGGAGGCTCCATGGGGCAGAGATTTTGTCTGGCTGGTTCAACATTGTATCCCCATAGCTGGAACACAGTTAACACTCAATAAACAACTGTTGAGAGGACGAATAAATGAATGAATATTTCAGACTTCAGTTCATACCTTGCTTCCTCAGTTCACCCCTCTCTGAGCCACATCCTCCTTGTGAAACGCTCCTACTCCTTACCTACTTATTTCTTTATTTTAAATGTACATACATGTATGTATGTGCGATTATTTGTCTGACGCCTGACCCAAGACTGTAAGCTCCATGAGGGCAAGGACTATTCCTGTTTGCTCACCTTGATGCTCTCAAGAATGGCCTTATTATGGTGTGCAATAAGTGTGGGTCGAATGAATAAATGGCCAAGCAAGTCTTAAAAAGGTCAATTTCTTCTGAGCTATTTTCATAATAAAGTACTTAGAGGAACTGAGAAAAAAAAATGGGTCAGGAATCCACAGATGAGGAAGGCACTTCAAGTCAGTAGGTAGTTTAGCCACATTCCTGGTGCTTTAGGGCCACTGGATCTTACAGTGGGGATAAAGAGGGGCCAGTGGTGTTGTACCTGGGTTTCTACCACTGTGCTGCAGTCTCACTTCCATTCTTTTTGTCACATGAGTGGGACTTACTTAAATGTGGCATCCCATGATTCATCTTCTGTTTGATAGTGTAGTATTGTTAATATGCAAATCTTACTGAGATTTCATCCAATATTTACCCTTTTCTGTGTGCATAACATGTTAAGATCTTCTATATCCTCAAGTATGATTTTTTTTAAGTCATGTCTAGATGGCCAATTGTTTTTTCTCCAAAAGAACACATTCCTGATTTTAAAATGAAAATCAGTGGGGAAATGAGATTCACTTAAAAGTCCATTGCCTTGTAGCCATTTCTGATGGAATACACATGCTCTGTTAAGTGAAGGGACACTCCATGAGGTTAATTTGATTTACACTTCATACGTTTCCTAAAGCATATGGTGACAGACAGAAGACGTAGGCTATGAAAGTCTGGAGGGATGTGTAAAATCTTCTTGGGAGCCAAAGGCTGTTTCTTTTTTGTGGCTTGATTTGCAGGGACTGCCTGGCAGATCTCAATGCAAACCTCAGCTGCATGGGGCAAGCTTAAAACCTGGACATGTGGAGGCCAGAGACAGGGCTGGGACAAGCTGCCAACTGACAAATGAATTCCCCACAGACCACCCTGTCACTTCCTATCTGCTGGCAAAAGTTTTGTCATCTGTGCCCACACATGGACTGTCTTGGGCATGGTCAGGCTGATTGGCATAGGAGGTAGCCTGAGTCCTCTGAGGCCCCAAATATTCCAGAATTCCTGAAAATGGACAAAGCCCACAGCAGCCCAAAGCATGCAGAATGCAGGGTGCAGGGGCTGGCGGCTGATGCCTGCTGAGAACCGAGACGGCCAGTCGTCCAACTCCCACGCACTCCTAGAGCCAGATGTCATTTTCACCTCTATTTTGGTGCTAGCTGGGGGAGGGGATGTCTTTGAAAACAAGGTAATTTTTTTTTTTTTTTTTTGTAATCTGCCCTAGTAAGCTGGGTGGGTCCTGATGCATAGCGGGGAGAAAGACTAACAATAAATACCCTCACTCTGTGTGTGTGTGTTGGGTGGGGAGTTGGGGGTGGGGTCAGGGGTAAAATATACATTATATAAAATGTATGATTTTAATTATTTTTAAGTGTACAATTCAGCGTCATTAAGTACATTTACAAGTTGTGCAACCATCATCCTATCCACTTCTAGAACATTTTCATCATACCAAACTGAAACCCTATGCCCATTAAACAATAACTCCTCCCAGCCCCTGGTAACCTTATTCTACTTTCTGTCTCTACGAATTTGACTATTCCAGGGACCTCATGTAAGTGAAATCATACCATCTCTGTCCTCTTATGTTCCGCTTATTTCATTCAGCATCTTATTTAAAAGTTCGTCTACGTTGTAGCTTGTGTTTTAAGAAAGAATTTTATTTTATTCAATATAAGAAAGAATTTTATTTCTTTCTAAGGCTGAATAGTATTCCATTGTGTGTGTGTATATATATATATATATATATATATACACACACATCATATTTTATCTATTTATCTGTGATGAACATTTGGGTTGTTCTACATTTTAGCTATTATGAATAATGCTGCAATGAACGCTGATGTACACGCACCTGTTTGAATCACAGCTTTCACTTCTTTTGCATGTATAACTAGGAGTTGAATTGCTGGATCACATGGCAATCCTATGTGTCAATTCTTGAGGAATTCCCAAATTATTTTCCACAGTGGCAGCACCATTTTAAATTCCCACCAACAATGCATGAGGGTTCTAATTTCTATACTTGTTCACCAACACTAGTTATTTCCCTTTATTTTAAAATAATAGCCATTCTAATGAAGTGAAGTGATAGCTCATTGTGGTTTTGATTTGCATTTCCTTAATGATTTATTATGTTGAGCATCTTTTCATGTGCTTATTGCCATCTGTATATCTTCTTTGGATAAATGTCTAGTCAAGCCATTTGACTGTTTTTGAATTGAGGTGTTTGTTTTTGTTTTTGTTTTTGTTTTTGAGACAGTCTCGCTCTGTTGCCCAGGCTGGAGTGCAGTGGCACAATCTTGGCTCACTGCAACTTCTGCCTCCTGGGTTAAAGCGATTCTGATGCCTCAGCGTCCCGAGTAGCTGAGATTGCAGGTGTGTGTCACCACGCCCGGCTAATTTTTGTATTTTTAGTAGAGACAGGCTTCGCCATGTTGGCCAGGCTGATATCGAATTCCTGGCCTCAAGCAATCCACCTGCCTCGGCCTTCCAAAGTGCTGGGATTCCAGGTGTGAGCCACTATGCCCAGCAAGGTGTTTTTTTTGTTGTTGTTGTTGAGTTGTAGGAGTCCTTTGTATGCTCTGAATATTAATTTCTATCAGATACATGATTTGCAAATGTCTTCTTTCATTCTGTGGGTTGTTTTTTCACTCTCCTGATAGTGTCCTTTGATGCAATTTCCTTGCTCTTGTATATAATACTTCCCAGTTTACAAAATACTTACAAGTATTTGCTTTATTTTTAATGTCACAAGCAATACATGAATATAGACCCCTCACAAAATTAAAATTTTTTTTCAAGCAATACAGTTAAGCTAAAGTCAACTTTAAGCTCCATTCGCAAATCCCAGCATGATCCCATGAGATAAGGCCTTATCTGTTTGGTATTTATTCATCCAGATCTTTCCCCATATATCTGCATGAATTTCCTTCATTCAACAAATACTTATTGAATGTCTACTATAAGTGAGGCATTGCCATAGGCCCTGGGGACACAGAGGTAGCAACACAGACAAGGTCCTTACCCTGATGGAATTTACATTCTAGTTGGAGAGGGGAGGATGCATGCAACAGTAAATAAGAAAATCTAGATTGTGAAAAGCATTGCTAAGGAAATAAACAGGATGATACGATACAAAGATCTGTTGGGGAGGGGAGAGAAGGCCATGCTGGGGAGGAGACATTTGAACTGAGAGCTAAACCCATCCATCCAGCTGAAGACCTGGAGGAAGAGCGTTCAGACAGAGGTAACAGCGGGGCAGGAACAAACTTGTCCTGTATGAGGGCAGAAAGAATCCTGGAATGCCTGGCCAGCAGTGATCACAGGAGGAGAATGAGAGTGAGATCGGAGTGCTGGAGACCAGGGAAGGTGATATGGTTTGGATCTGTATTCCACCCAAATTTCATGTTCAATTGTAATCCTCAATGTTGGAAGTGGGGCCTGGTGGAAAATGACTGGATCATGAGGACAGACTCCCCCCTTGGTACTGTGTCAGGATAATGAACAGATAGTGAACGAGTTCTCATGAGATCTGATTGCTTAAAAGTATGTGGCACCTTCCCCCCTCTCTCTTCCTTCTGCTCTGGCCATGAGAAGTGCTGGCTCCCCCTTCACCTTTTGCCATGATTGTAAGTTTCCTGTGGCCTCCCCAGAAGCAGAAGCCACTATACTTCCAGTACAGCCTGTGGAACTGTGAGACAATTAAACCTCTTTGTAAATTACACACTCTCAGGCATTTCCTTATAGCAGTGCAAGAATGAATGAGTACAGAAGGCATTTGGGTTTTATTTTAAAAGCAATTAGAAGATGTTAGAGCCAGATGCAGTGGCTTGTGCTTATAATCCCAACACTTTGGGAGGCCAAGGTGGGAGGATTGCTAGAGGCTCGGAGTTTGTGATCAGCCTGGGCAACATAGCCAGTCCCCATCCCTACAAAAAGAGAATTTTAAAAAATTAGCCAGGCATGGTGATGCACACCTATAACCCCAGCTACTCAGAAGGCTGAGACAGGAGGATCACTTGAGCCCAGAAGTTTGAGGCTGCAGTGAACTACGATTGCACCATTGCGCCCCAGCCTGGACAACAGAGCAGGAAGCCTGGGAGGTTGAGGCTGCAGTGAGCCATGATCCCACCACTGCACTCCAGCCTGAGCAACAGAGTGAGACCCCATCTCTGAAAAAAAAAAGATTAGAGGACTTTTAGCAAGAGAGTGAATGTGAATGACTTGTATTTTTAGAATATTCCTAGGATTTCCACGTAGAGACGAGTTTGGAGAATGTTGAAGATATTCAAAGTAGGGTGGGGACGGCTTGAATTAGGGCAGCAAGAGTGAAGGGAGAAGTGAATGGCTTCAAATTGAACTTTAGGGTCTTGTGATGGTTGTGATGAAAGGGTAAAGGAAATAAAGGGACCGATAATGATTCTTGGGTTTTTGACTAGAGCAGTTGAGTGGGGCAGTGCTGTTGCCCAGTTTAGAGAAGACATGGGCGGAGTAAGAAAGGGCAGCCCTGAAACAGAAGGTTCTGTTTTGGACCTGTTACGTTTGTGATGTCTGGGTGAGATGTCAGAGAGTTGAGATATATGAGTTTGGAGTCTCAGAAAGAGGTGGGATGTGATATAGAACAGTGGGAGTCCTCACGATATTTCATGATCATCCAGGAAGGAAATACGGCTACAGAAGGACATTCAATATAGCCCAGGACATACCAACATTTAGAGGTTGAGAAGAGCAGGAGGAGCCAGCAGAGGACCTTGAGAAGGGATGGCCAGAGAAGTGGGGTGAAGAGGCTGAAGAGAGTGAAAAATCATAACATCCAAGAAGAAAATTCTTTTTTTTCTTTTTTTTTTGAAACTTAAAAATCCCTCAAACATCGTTTATTATACAAGTTAATCCTGATCCTTGTGATGAGCTTATTGCTAGGATTTCTTTCTCTCTTTCTTCTCTCTCTCTCTCTCTCTCTCTTTCTTTCTTTCTTTTGAAATGGAGTCTCACTCTCTTGCCCAGGCTGGAATGCAATAGCACAATCTTGGCTCGCTGCAACCTCCACCTCCCAGATTCAAGTGATTCTTCCATCTCAGCCTCCCAAGTAGCCAGGATTACAGGCACCCGCCATCAGGCTCAGCTAATTTTTGTAGTTTTGTAGAGACAGGGTTTCACCATGTTGGCCAGGCTGGTCTCGAACTCCTGACCTCAGGTGATCCGCCCACCTCAGCCTCCCAAAGTGCTGGGATTACAGGTGTGCACCACTGTGCCTGGCCTATTGGTAGGATTTCTAGTAGCGAGCACAGGCACCAGAGCTTCCAAACTTTTTGGACTCACAGCGAAGGAGGCCAGCTACCAGCAAGGTCTGGTCATTCTGGATGAGGGTGTCTTTGATATCCTTCTTGGAAGCCTCATCCATATATTTCTGGTAATAGGCCACCAGGGCTTTGGAGATGGACTGATGGACAGCACAAATCTGGGCCACATGACTACCACCCTTCACATGAACACAAATGTTCACACCAGCAAATCGCTCTTTGCCCAGAGCAGAAGTGGTTCCAGCAGCTTGTATTGTAGCATATGCAGCTCGATCATCTCCAGGTGCCACCCATTCACCTTGATGAGGCCATTGCTGTGTTTGCCGGGCGCCACAGCTGTGGCCCTTTTCTTGCATCCAAAGACCTGCGCATACTGCAGTGGGCCCTTGGACAGCATGGCTACAGGCATACATTAGAGATCCTCACTGCACAGAGCTGCAACCAGAAAAGGAAGAAAATTATTTCAAAAAGGAAATACATTTGTGTGTGTTTGCAATCTTCCATGATACTTTTTTAAATGAGGCAGCGGACACCTGTGTCAGTTGCTGCTGAGAGTTGAATTAAGCGAGGCAAGAGAAATGTACATTTGCATTTTGCAGCATAGAGCCCATCTTGACAAGAGCAGTTTCAGTAGAGTGGTGGAGACAGAAGGGAGCTGGAATGGGCGTGAGTGGCTTAACATGATAATAATAGCTGAACTTATATAAAACTTACTATGTGCCAGACACTGATCTAAGTGCTTTACATATATTAATCTGTGCAACAGCCCTTTGAGATAGGTACAATTATTATCCTATTTTACAGATAAGGAATAGATCTTTAAGTAATTTGTCCAAGATCACACACATTAGGAAATGACAAAACTGGAATTTGAACCCAGACAAAACTGGTTGATCTGGCTCCAGGAAATAGAGGCAACCCTTTTGAGAAATCTTGTTATAAATGGTGTATTAATTAAGATAAGGCCAGATGTTGTAACACATAAACCACCAAAATCTATTTAGCTTGACTAAATAGAAGTTTATTTCTTCTCTTTTAAATTCCAATCAGTGATAGGAGTGGGAGAAGTGAGGATAGAGCTCTGCTCCATACAGTTATTCAGGGATCTAAGCACTTACCTTATGGCCTAGACATCTTCTTCAACACACAGCACCCTTAGTTGCCCTAGGTGTCAACATCAACCTGGCAGAAGAGGAAAGAGAATATGGAGGATCGTGTAGAAGAATTTTATGGGCCATACCTGGAAGTTGCGTACACCACTTCTGCCCACATTCTGTTATCCAGACCTCAGTCACATGTTCTCATGAGTATGCAAAAGGAGCCAGGAAGTGTGGTCCTTGGCTGGGCAGCCACTGCCAGCAGCAGCACTACACTGTGCAAAGAGGCCGTGGATTTTTGGTGGACAGTTGTCTGTCTACCCCATTGAGCAAAGACATAGTGAGAAAGGTATGTGTGAAAGGAGATTTGTTTTTGAATATGGGAAATACTGGAGCATGTTTGTGTACTGACAAGAATGACAGAGTAGGGAGGGGGAATCTAATGATGCAGGAGAGAGAGGATAATTGCAGGAGCAAAGTCCTCAGCAAGGTGATAGCAGGTGAAGGGATTGTCCTTTGAAAGGAGCAGGAGGGAGGCTGAGAGGTTGGCAGGGTGAGGGAAAATTGTTGTTGGCACATATTCAAGGAGGATTGGCGATTTCATCGTGGGAGGCACAGTTGTCCCTGGCTGAGGGCTTCTGGGTTTTTTTGGTTGAAGTGTTAAGAAAGGTCATCAGCTGGATGTGACGTGGGGAGAGGATGTGGGGGATGGGAAGAGCGAGAATGTACGAAATAATCATTTTAGACAGAGAAAAGAAACTTAGTAGAGAAACATTTTAGAATTACCCGGCTGTGTTGCATGACCATTTGAGGTTTGTGGTTATGCATATAAAATGAAAATTACCTCCAGAAGTTGTGTGTGTGTGTGTGTGCTTACATTAATGGTGTCTATCATTCTCTGTGTATTATTTAGCAACTTGCTTTGTGTCTTTCCTGTGTGCTGTACGTTCAGTATTCCACAGAATGGATGCACCAGAGTTTATTCAGCCATTCCCCAGTGATGACAGCTAGGTCATTTCCAGTTCTTTACTAGAAAGCTGCAGCAAGGATTCTTTGCCTGCTGCCTCGTGCACACATGACTGTTTCTCCAGAGGTACACCAAGAAGTAGATTTGCTGGATCATAAGGGAAATAGAAGTTTTAATAGATTCTATCAAATTGCCCTCCAAAGTGACTTTACCAATTGATACTCCCATCAGCAGAATATGAGACTACTGCCCACATCTTCATCTGCCCTACATTCAATCAAACTTACTATTTTGCTTGTCTGGTCGAATAAAAAATGTTTTTTCATTATTTTAATTTACATTTCCTTTATTATCAGGGATATTGCAGCTTCCCATAGATTTTTGGCCATTTGAATCTCTCCTCTTGTGATTTTTCCTTTCATATTCTTTTCCTGTTTTCCTAAGCATTGTTTACTTTTTCATATTGACTTATAGCAGATTTTTACATATTTTGAATGTTGTTTGTATATTGTAATTATTACAATTTTTTTAGTTGGTTGCTAGTTTTCAATTTTGTTGATGGTGTCTTTTTTTTTTTTTAAGAGACAGAGTCTCACTCTGTCACCCAGGCTGGAGTACAGTAGTGCAATCACAGCTTACTGTAGTCTCAAACTCCTGGGCTCAAGTGATCCTCCCGCTTCAGCCTCTCAAGTAGCTGAAACCACACATATGCACCACTACACCTGGCTTTTTTTTTTTGTGGAGACAGGGTCTCACTCTATTGACCAGGCTGGTCTCCAACTCCTGGACTCAAGCAATCCTCCCCTCTCAGCTTCCTAAAGTGCTGGGATTACAGGTGTGAACCACTGCACTGGGTCATGTTGATGGTACTCTTTGATGTCGTTAAATTTATTCATATCTTCCTTAATGCTTTTATATTAAGTGCCTTATTGCACAAGCTTTCCCTATCACTAATTCATAAAAATAATATCCTATATTTTCTTCTAATTCTTTTGTAGTTTTTTAAATTAAAGTCTTAATTTTGAGATAATTGTAGCTTCACATGCAGTTGTAAGAAGTAATACAGGAAGATCCATGTTCCCTTAATCCGGTTTCCCCCAATGGTAACATCTTGGAATATCACAACTAGGACACTGATATTGGACTCGACGTTGATACAGTCAAGATACAGAATGATTTCCCCACCACAAAGAGCCCTTGTGTTGCCCTTTTAGAACCACACCCACTTCTCTTTCCCCCACTCCTTTGTCCACTGCCATCCCCTCTTTAACTCTGGCAACCACTAGTCTGCTCTCCATTTCTATAATTTTGTCATTTCAAGAATGTTATATAAATAGAATCAACTGTATGGGACCTTTTGAGATTGACTTTTTTTCAGCCAACATAATGCCCTGAAGATTCATTCAGGTGGTTTTGTGTATCGATAGCTTCTTCCCTTTTATTGCTGAGAAGTAATCCATGGTGTGCTTGCACTCCATTTGCTTAACCATTCATTCATTGAAGGATATCTGGGTTGTTTCCAGTTTGCAGATATTTTTGTACAAGTTTTTGTGTGAACATAAGTTTTCATATCCCTGGGATAAACATTGAAAAGTACAATTGTTAAGACTTGTGATAGTTGCACACCTAGTTTTTTAAGAAACTTCCAAATGATTTTCCAGTGGCTATGCCATTTTACATTCCCATCTGCGAAGTATAAGTGATCCAATTTCTTCATATCCTGGTCAGCATTTGATGTTGTCACTATTTTTTATTTTAGCCATTTTGATAGATGTGTGTTGATATCTCATGTGGTTGTCTTGGCACTTTCCTAATGGCTAAGGATGTTGACCATCTTTTCATGTGCTTATAACCAGGAGTACCAGGAGTACACTCTCTTTGGCTAAATGTCTGTTCATGTCTTTTGCCCATTTTTGAATTCGATTCTTTGTTTTTTATTGTTCAGTTTTGAGAGAAATGTATGTATTCTAGGCTCTAGTCCTCTGTGTTTTGCAAATATCTTCTCCCAATCTTTAGATTGTCTTTTTATTCTCTGTACAGGGTCTTTCACAAAGCAAAAGTTTTCAGTTTTGATGAAGCCCAATTTATTGATGTTTCCTTTTATGGATAATACTTTTGGTGTCAAGGCTGAGAACTCTGTCTAGCCCAAAACCACAAAAATGTTTCTCCCATGTATTTTCTTCCTAAAAGTTTTGTAGTTTTAGGTTTCACATTTATGTTTGTGATTCATTTTGAGTTAATTTTTTTATACAGCCTGGAGTCTAGGTCAAGGTTCACTTTTACCTATGGATGTTCAGTGGTTCCAGGACCATTTGTTTACAAGGCTATCCTTCATCCATTGGATTGCGTTTGCATCTTTTTCAAAACTCGGTTGCGCATATCTGTGTAGGTCTATTTCTGGATTTTCCATCCTTTCCCATTGATTTATGCTTCCATCCCTCCACCAATATCACACAGTCCTAATTATCATAGCTATATAACATCTTGGAATTGGGTAGACTAATTCCCACTTAGTTCTTCTTTTTCAAAAAAAGTATGTGTATATATTATTTACTTCATATGCTTTATCACAAAACCACAAAAACAATCTCCTACATTTTATCCTAATTCTTTTGCAGTTTAAAAAGATATATTTAGTTCTTTAAGTAACCTGGAATTTATTATTATGACTGGTGTGAAGTAGAAATTAAACTTGACTTTCATTTTCTGCAGTTGTTTCTCCTAAAATATTTAATTGAATGTTTTGTCACTCATCTGAAATACCAACTGTATCATACACTAAGTTTCTACATATTCGAGGGTCTGTTTGTGCACTCACTATCCTATTACTTTGGTCTATTTGTCTATTTAATCCTATATTATTTTTAATTCTCTAACTTCATAATATGTTTTGTTAAAGTAAATTAAAATGGAGACCAGACCTGAAGAATCCCTACACAGACAAAGGCAGTTAGGATAAGTGACCTTAACCTTGTTTGATTTGTAAACATGAGTGAAACTTAACCTGGGCCATTTCTTATAAATACTTTTTTTTTTTTGAGACAGGGTCTTGCTCTGTTGCCCAGGCTGGAGTATAGTAGTGCCATCTTGGCTCACTGCAGCCTCGATCTCATGGGTTCAAGCAATCATCCTGCCTCAGCCTCCTGAAGTGCTGGGATTACAGGTGTGAGCCACTATACCTGGCCCCAAATGCCTATGTCAAAGAAAAATAGAATTTAAGCTCAACTAATCGGAAGCAGCCAACAAACTTATATAACTGGGAACAGTTTCCAACAGGATAAGCCAAAGAAGGCAAGTGTATAACTACAACCAATCAAATTTTTTTTGCTTTACTTCCCTTTTCATCCTATAAAAGCCTCCCTCTTGTAGTCCCTCAGTGAAGCTTCCCAACCACTTCTGGTTTGGAACCCAATTCATAAATCTCTGTCTACTCAAATAAACTTATTAACATTTTGTTGTGCCTCAATTTACCTTTTTAATACTTTTTTTTTTGACAGAATCTTGCTCTGTCACCCAGGCTGGAGTGCATGGCGGCATCTCGGGTCACTGCAGCCTCCACCTTCTGGGTTTAAGTGATCCTTGTACCTCAGCCTCCTGAGTAGCTGGGATTACAGGTGCACACCACCATGCCCGGCTAATTTTTTGTATTTCTTGTAGAGACAGGGTTTTGCTATGTTGGCCAGGCTGGTCTCAAACTCCTGGCCTCAAGTGATCTGCCCACCTCGGCCTCCCAAAGTGCTGGGATTACAGGTGGGGGCCACCATGCCTGGCCACATTTTTAATAGTTTTGATATCTGGCAGGATAAGTTCCCCTTTACTGTTCTTCCTTTTCAAAAGTCTTTTCTTATGCATTTTTTCCATGTGAATATTAATCATCATCTGTCTATTTTAATGAAGAATTCCAGTGAGATGGTTGTTGGGATTGCGCCAAATTTATAGATAATTTTATAAGGGATATTTTTATAATATTGAAATTTCCCAATGTAGTAGAATATATATCTCCCTTTATTTAGGTCTTTTATGTCCATCATTAAGTTTTACTGTTTTCTTTGTAAGTTTCTTGCATTTCTTTTTAGGACTGGTACTAAATATTTTGTGAATTTTAATTGTGCTGTACAGAGGATTTTGTTAACATATAATATCAAGTTGGTCACTATCATATAGGAACACAGCCTTTCACATAGCTGTTCACATGAGATACTCAGGAACCTTCTGTGGTAAGCAATGTTTGAACTGTCTTGTGGAAGAAGAGACTGAAGCTCAGAGAAGGAAGCCTGGGGCCAAATGCGGGTCCCCCAGGTCCAAGTGCCAGGCACAGAAAGCTTCCACTCCAGGGAAGGCTCTCGAATGTGCAGACAGTGGAGCTGCAGGGTCTCCCTTTGGCTTACAGAGTGTGGACCCAGCAGACAGTTCCTGGCCTCCCAGCGAGGCTCCAAGAAGACCTAACTACAGCCCCATTTCCCCGCTGCTTCATCTTTGTCTGTCACAGGCAAGGTCTGCCTTTCTCTTCAGGGGGACAAGTGCCTGGCTCTGTGACCAAGGCAGAGCCCAACTTGGTAAATGGATGCTATGGTCATTAAAAGATTAGAGGGTCATTAAACTATGGGTTTGGTGATGGGGGTCAGGTGGCTGAGCATTCCCTGAGGACAAGGTGAGAGATTAGTATGGAGGAGACTGGTTAGAACCAAATTCCTGGCTTGGGCAGCAAAGGGGTTCAGGAATGAAGGAGACCAGCCCTCAGGTTCCAGGGTGAATAATGACACCCTCTACAGGGAGGCAGGCCAGAGAGCAGGAATTGAGGGGTCGGGCCAGTGGTTTGGGAGGCACATGAGGTGGGGTGCGGAGTGGGATGGTCTGGGAGCCTGAGGAGCAAGAGAGCTGTAGATCACATCTGTGGGTTAGAAGTGAGCTAGGGGAGTTTATCATGTGTGTGATCCTTGGCTTCTCTGTTTATTTCCTTGCTTATCTCACTCAGGATTCATCATGGTGTCAGTAAAAGACCTAGCCTGTGTGAGGAGGCCAAGCGAGGCAGGATGGGTACCCTGGGGCCAGCATCTTGCAGAGGTGTCAGTGGGAAGCAGGATGAGGGAGTTCCTCAGAAAGAAGGAGACTCACGGCTGGAATCCCACCTACTCTTCTTTGCCTGAAATACTCATTTCGGTTGCACCATGCAGATTCAGGGTTTGGTACTAATGAAGATTATTTAGCTTCTTAGCTTTGTGATCATAGCTATTTTCCCAACTGCAAAATAGGGATAATAATTCTACCAAGTTCCCCAAATTGTAGAATGCTCATCACTGGAGATTTGGGGTGGTATGATAGATTATTTTATATAGTACATGGCCATACCTTTAAACAATGATAAATAACATAGTGAGAAATACATCCCTTTTTTCTTTTCCCCCAAATTTGCCTGATGACATAAGGAGAAAGTCTCCTCCTCAGAATGCCTCAGCCTCAAAAAGGGCATCCGAAAGGCAATACAATGATAACATCGTACTGAATTTTGCAGATATTCATGACAAGTGATAATGAATATAAAACTTCCTTTAAAGGTAAGTGGGTTTGGGTTGGGCGCGGTGGCTCATGCCTGTAATCCCAGCACTTTGGGAGGCCAAGGCAGGCAGATCACTTGAGATCAGGAGTTGGAGACCAGCCTGGCCAATGTGGTGAAACCTTGTCTATACTAAAAATACAAAAATTAGCTGGGCGTGGTGGTACGTGCCTGTAATCCCAGCTACTCGGGAGGCTGAGGCACAAGAATTGCTTGAACCCAGGAGGCGGAGGTGCAGTGAGCCAACGTTGCACCACTGCACTCCAGCCTGGGTAACGGAGCGAGACTCCGTCTAAAAAAAGTTAGCGGATTTAAGCTTATCTAAAGGTAACTGATATAAAAGAAAATTGATTTAAAGAAAAGAAATAAGAAATTGTACAGGTGGTGTGCAAAAGACAAGGCAGAAATCTTACATGTGGTAAGCAAAGGATCCAAGTTTGGGGTTCAGGGTAGTGGTGTGGGGAGGTGTAAATGGAAATAACACACTCAAAGGCTCAGCCCAGTACCTGGAACATAGAAAGGGCTCTCTCAATGATGCATGACAATAACTGTCGTTCCCTTTAAGTGAAGCTTGCCAGATTCAGCAAATAAAATCAGTGCACTCCCAGTTTAATTTGAATTTCAGACAAACAATAGGATTTTTTAAGTATAAGTATGTCCCATGCAATATTGGGAACATATTCATCCTAAAAAAGTATTTATTATTTAATTAAAATTTAAATGGAACTGAGTGACCTGTGTTTTATCAGGCAACCCTACTTCTCATGCCTTCCCTGGAATGCGGGAGAATTGGACGTGGCTTAGAGACCCTGGGATGTCACCCGGGATGCCTATCCCCCACCAGAGACTTGGGCAGAAGATGGTCAGGGGATGTGAAAGTTCCCGAGGAGGCCAGAGCATGCTGAGGGCAGCCTCCAGCCGGGACATTAGACACCCCTGCCCTCCCCACAACCCTGGCTCTGCCACTTGACTCTCCAGTTTCCTGTGTCCTGTCTTCCACCTGGCTGTGATGGGGAGGGGACCAGAGTGGCCCGGGAGTGAAGTGTATTACAGACAGACAGACAGGAGCTAGGAACACTCAGGAATTCGCTACGTGATGTTGAAGGCTTTCCACAGGGACCTGGGCCCAGAGACACTCAGTGGAAGAGGTTTTACAAATATCAGGCTGAACCTGGCCCTCCTCTTCACCTCCCTCCCCATCTGCACTGAGCCAGCCAAGGAAACCTCTTCCATCCATAGAAGGGCGGGAGCTTGGCCAGCAAAGGGGACTCAGGCTTTGTCACTTTTCCTTTCATTACCCTCCCTGGCCATGCTGAGCAGGGGTCCTCTGCCAGGCCACAGCGGCAGATGTCCTGGTCCTTCTCAAGGAGCCATCCCTACATACTCACACACACCACACTCACAGCACACACACCACAGACACACCACACTCACCACACATTCGCACCACACACACCACACGCACAGCACACACACCACAGACACACCACACTCACCACACATTTGCACCACACACACCACACTCACAGCACACACACCACAGACACACCACACCACACTCACCACACACCCCACATACACCACATTCACACCACACACAACCACATATACACCACACACACCACACACCACACATACACACCACACACAGCACACTCACACCACACACATCACACTCACAACACACCACACTCAACACACACACCATGCTCACCACACACTCACACCACACACACTCACAACACACACACCACACTCACCACACACACCACACATACACACCACACACACCACACTCACAACACACACACCACACTCACCACACTCACCACACATACCACACTCACACCACACACATACCACATACCACACTCACCCCACACACATACCACATACCACACTCACCACACACACATCACACTCACCACACACTCCCACCACACACACACCACATTCACAACACACACTCATACCATACTCACAACATTGACATCACGCACACAGCACACTCACCACACACTTGCACCATAAACACACCAGACTCACAACACAACACACACCACACAACACACACCACACTTACCACAAACAACACATACTCATACTATACTCACAACACACACTGACACCATACACATACCACACTCACCACACACACCACACTCACAACACACGACACATGAAACAACACACACCCACACCACAGACATGCCACACAACACACAACACACTCATATCACACTCAGTACACACAACTCACACCATACCACACTCACAACACACAACACACACTCATTCTATACTCAACATATACTGACACCACACACATACTATACTCACACACTCACATCACATACACACCACACACAACACACTCACATCACACACTCATCACACACAATACACACAACACACAATACACACTCACACGACACACCACATATATATACCACAGTCACCACACTCGCACCACACACAAACTCAAACACACATCACACACACTGCACATTCATACCACACTCACACAAAACACACAGCACACTCAAACCATACCCACACCACACACACCACACTCAATACACGCACCACATTCATACCACACTCACAACACACAACACACTCATACCACACTCACAACACACAACACACACACCACACTCATACCACACTCACAACACACAACACACTCATACCTCCCTTACAAGATGGATTCACAACACACACTCACAACACACCACATACAACACAGACACTACACACACCCACACTCACCACACACAACACACTCATAACACACACACCATACACATACACAGCATACACATACACACGTGTATCCACGTTCACACCACACACACCACACAAGCATACACACACACACCACACCACATACACACATATACTACACCCCACATACCCACACCATATACACACACCACATGCACATACAACACACACACACCACACATATGCACCACATATATATATACACACTCACAAAACACACACACACACACATTGTTAGCTGCAGCAAAGCGTGACTGACCCCTTCCACTTGCTAACTCAGCTCTTTGCAGGGGATGGGGATCTTCAGCCCAAGACTTCAAGCAATGCTCCCTGTCTCTGAGCTGAGAGGCCAAGCAGGAGGATGTGGTCATAACTGCACCCACCTGTGTACTCAGCTCCCCTCCCCCGCCCCAGGCCGCTGTGTCTCTGTGCTCTACCGTAGAACCCACTTAAACTCTCCCCATCTCCTGGGGGCTGACCCTGCCTGCCAAGGACATCGTGAGGGAGCAGGGTTTAAATGAGATGCACTCTCATTTAAATTAAACAGCAGGAGCCTGTCACAATCTCAAGGGAGAAAGACCTCAAAAATTTGTGGATGCTCATGTCTGGAAAAGGGCGACTGTGGTTCATACCAAACTGAGAAGAAAGAGATTCATGAGCCCAGCCTGCCCCACGGCATTGATCAGCCCCGTTACTCACATCCACAGAGCAGGGTGACACAGCCACTGCCTAATGCTTACTCATGCACTGCCTTCTAGCCTGGGTGTCTGGTGTGTGTGTGTGTGTCCTTCCTGGATAAACTGAAATCCCTCTACAGCAGAGAGACCTCTCCTTCCTCAGTGGCCTCATGGAGATACAATAGGTGTGTAATAATTACTGCCTGTCCTGCTCAGAGCTTCTGAGCATTCCAACGTGTGTGTGTGTGTGTGTGTGTGTGTGTGTGTGTGTGTGTACAAGGAAGTCTAGCTCCCATATCTGCTCTTAATGGTGTTACAATTTTTTTTTGAGACAGAGTCTTGCTTTGTCACCCAGGCTGGATGCAGTGGTGTAATCATAACTCATTACAGCCCCATACTCCTAGGCTCAAGCAATGCTCCATCTCAGCCTCACAAGCAACTGGGACTACAGGCATGCGCCACCACACCTGGCCAGCGTTACTACCACTGCACACCTTCCTCTCCGTCCTCCAGTCACATACAGAGAGCCCTGAAGTAACCACAGACAGTGGTCATGTCTCCCAGCCCATTGGAAGCCTCGGTAGAAGGAGGTCCCCTGTGGCTCCTCTCACCCCCTTGTCCCCAGATGTCCCCACAGGGACCCATTCTTGAGATGGGGAGCAAGCCTTCCCCTCAGGCCTCCCTCTGTATCCAGGCATGGCCACTCAGGCCTTCTGCTCCTCTTCTTCAGGCCCTGCCTTGGCTGTTATGTCCTATCCATCCTCTCTCTGACTGTGCCCAGAGAACGAGGGAGTCTGACTTCAGATTTTACAGACAGAAGATATCCCAGGAATGTGTCCATCACATCGCCAAGCCAGCCCCTGTCAGTACAAGGCCAGCGTGGAATGAAGCTGAGTCTCTCTCTCTTCACCTGGAGTCCAGTGCTCATCCATGGCCATCGCTGTGTGCCAAGGATGTAGGGGTTGGCCAGGCCCAGAAAAGGGGATGTGGGCAGTGTGGGAAGAAAGAAAAAAAGCCCTCCAAATACCGGAAGATGGGCACAGTGAGCTCCACGAGCCAGCCACAGCTCACCTTGCCATCTTTACCTTTCCCATCTTGGTGGGTAGGGTGGGGGTGCCCTGAGCACTGCACAGGACGGAGGGTGCTTCAGGGCCACCGCAGCTGTGACCAGCATTTGGCTGAGAGATAAACCCTCCCCAGCCAAGAATGCCACCCCTGGAACCTCCCCTCCCTAAAAGCTTAGTGGCAATTCTAGCAACTCGGGGGTCAGGCAGTGCTGGACTGGGGCGAACTAACAAAGCCTCCTCCGTGGGAGCCATTTCCCCTAATACCCCCTTGAACAAAGGCCTGAGATAGCTGTCCGCCGGTCCACACACCTGTGGAACACCACCCTCCTTGCTCTCATGTTTTCTCTCGTACTCAAAGGCCCCAGAGAGAAGCCCCATTCAGGCAGCTCAGCCTGCACCTCTGCTGCAGGGCGCTGGGCCACACCTGCCGCCCCATGATGTGGTCCTTTCTCCAGAGCACGGGGCTTCAGGGTCCTCCCTGCATGGCATGGACAGTTCTGAGGGATGGCTGTGACACGCAGCACGAGGCCACCCTGCTTCCCATCGGGGAGCTCTGACATCAGGGGCCAAGACATCTTTTTGAGATGAGTGGGGGGCACGGAAGAGACGTCTGGATGTTAGAGTCATGGTCTCCAAAGTGGGGACTGACCCAGCTGCTGGGCCTCCCTCCAGCAGCCCAGCCCTGGGTGGACAGGCTGCTTTTATGATGATAGTTAACTTTTTATAGATATTCCTCCTGCAGCAAGTTAAATTGCATCTGCTCGGGCAGACATCCAGGCCAAGGGCAGGCAGATGGAGCGGCCGGGCCCCGAGGCTCTGGCGGGCAGGTCTTCCTGCTGTAAAGCTCTGTGTCTGATAGGAAATTCAGGCTGGAGTGTGGGCACAGGGCAGCTTGGGTTGCTTCCTGAGGGTCTAAGAGCCCCAGACGAGTCGTCCTTTTCTTCTGCAGCCTCTTCATGTGGCTCTGAGTTCTGCACCTGGGCAAACTTCCTTGTGGGAGAAGTCATGAGTGGGTAGAACGTGCAGTCAGCGCTGTAGGACCAGCCAGGGAGGGGCCTCAGCCAGTCAGCTGTGATGGGGCAGGGGATCGGAGCCTCGCCCGGTTGGTGGGCAGGGATCTGGCCCTGAGGAGCAGGGCCCCGGGAGTGGGACCCTCATCCCACAGGACCGGCAGCACTGGGCAAGTTATTGCTACAGGGATTTGGCCATGGCATATGGGGTACAAACCAAAACAGGGACCACCCCCAAACTCAGCCTGAGTCGACAGCACTGCCCTCTAGGCCTCCACTCCCCACAGGGAGAAGGGCTCCCACACTGGTCCCTCTGACGCCTGCAGAGTCACTTTCGATGGGGCCACTTCGCCTCCCAGCCAGCCCGCCCTTGGTCCAGGGCATTAGCGACTCGGCGAGATGCACTGAGTTTGACTTTCAACACACATTTATTGGACACCTAACTCCCTATAGGCTGTGTGTTAAGTTCTGGGGCTTCAAACTGTGCTGAATACAGCCCCTTCCCTGGAGGAGTGCCTGGACTGTGAGGGAGTGAGAGCAGTAAATAGTCGGGGTGATTGCGCGAGGATAACAGAATGCACAGAGCGAGGCTGCGGTCTGAAGAGAGGCCAGGCTGCAGGGCCTGCTGGGACTGGGACCACTGCTATCCCAGCCCAGCCTCGGCCCACTGCTCCCAGTTCCTCCTCACGCTCCCCACCTCTTCCTGGGACGCCTGTCATGACCAATAGCCAACAGGAAAAAGAACACCTCCCTATCTGGTCTTCCCCCACAGGGACTGGTTCTTGTCCAGGGACACACGCCCTCTCCAGGAAACCTGTGGACCCACTGGGCTGGGGCAAATAACCCTCTTCTCCAGAAAGCTCCTAGCAACTTAGATGGCTAAGCAGAAGTCCCATCAGGTCCCAGTTACCCCATCACCTGGTCGATTTGCAGGTCCCATACATTCAGTGTTGCCGAGTACCTGGCATGTGAAAGGTATTACATCAAGTGATGCTTACAGCTTCCCTTGAGGGTAGGCAGGGTGCCCAGATATTACCTAACACTGCGTAACAAACCACCCCGACACTTAGGAGTTTAAAACAAAAACAGCAGTATTTATTTTGCTCATGAATATGCAAAGTGGGCAGGGCTGGGCGGGCAGTTGTTGCTGCTCCACTTGGCTTCAGCTGGGGCAGCTTGGAGGCTGGAGGCTATTATCATCCGAAGCTGCTCATTCACTCACATGCCTGCGCCTGGGGTGGGAAGACCCGATGGCAGGGGGCAGGCACAGCTGGGGTGCCTCACACTCCTCTGTCTATCTCCTTGCAGCCACGCCTCCCTCCAGCATGGCGGTGTCAGGGTAGCTGGACCTCTTATGTGGGCTCAGGCCTCATGGGGTGTGCGTCCTGAGCAAGAGCAAGCCAGGCCGAAGCTGCATTCCCTTTTCTAACCTAGACCCTAGAGTCATGCAGCACCATTTCCGCCTCTATTAATCAGCAGTGTCTCATCAAACTTGGCCCATACTGAAGGAAGGACAATTGAATTCCATCTTTTCATGGGAAGCGTGTCAAAGGATATGTGAACACGATTGTGAGCCTGTTTTTAAATCACCACTTAAGACAAGGTTGTTGCCTTATTTTAGAGAGCAAAAAATAAAGTGGCTTGTCGAGTTCATGCAGCAATTTAGAACTGATGAGAATTCTAAGCCACATCTCCCAGCTCCAAGGCCAAGGCCTCCTTCTAGTCACCATTTAGTGCAATGATAAAGGGATCAGAGTCCCTCGGAGCATCTGATGAAATCCATAGACAATTTTCCCAGAAAAAAAAATGCACGTGCATTAAATCTTGGGTCTGTATGTGTGTGGGGGAGCAGAACAGTATAACCAAAAATATAAGGCTGGGCTAACCAATTGTGAGCTCAGCCTGCCCCTGGCGCAGCCACCACACTTAGGGCAGCCAGTGCGCGGCGCGACTCAGCCTCGGGTTTGGAGAAGGGCTTGCCGTGGGCAGTGCCCTGGGGACTTGCTGTGGAAGTCCCATGCTGTGCTGTGTCAGCCAGCACCTCCTGGCTTTATCATTGCACCATACATACCATGTGCAGGAAAACAAGTGTTTCCTTCCTGCTCCTGACATGGGCGGACTCCAGGGTTCTGGATGGAGAGACCCAGAATCCAGACTTCCCTACAGCAGCTCCCAGCCTTCTCACAGCCCCAGGGGCAGCTGGACAGGTACCCAGGGCAGCCACACAACAGAACAAGAGGCCTCGTGGGGCCTGTTAGTCTCTGCATTTGACACAGCGAGGGGTGGCATAGTGGTCCCTGCCCTCTTTTCCTTCTGCTCACACCCGAAGGAGGAACAGGTGCATCGGAACTGCAGGAGGAAGAGAGTTTGGAAAAGTCCCTGGCGTGACTGTCATAGATAATTCCCACCTTATCCTTGCCCTCGAGAACCACACATGTAGTAGATGACATAGAGGCATTTAACAATTTCATATAATTTAATTGTTTTATTAAACAATTGTGTTTATCAATTGGCTCAGAAAATCCCTCGAAAATAGGACAAGCTGTTCTCATGAGTGTGTACAAGTTGTCTCTAGCACACCGCTGACTCAAACCCAGGACCTCTGACACCAAATGTAACCCCCACTCTACACAGCCAAAGGTACTGGAGCTCCACAGGCAGTAAGCAGTGGGGCTGAGATTTAAAGCTAGTCTGACCCCAAAGCCAAGTGTTAATCATTATCATTTGGATAATGATCTCCATTGGAGGGCCTGATGGGAGAAGAGGAGAAACAAGGACGCTGACCCAGAATGCCTGTGGGCTTTACTTCCCTGATCCCAGGCCACTGGGGCAGATTGAGGGGGGATGGTCGGGGGGTGTCATTAAACCTCAGGCATAGTCAAGCATTGTTCCCTCACTGCAGAGGGGCAGACCTGCCCAGGGTCACACACAAAGCATGGGGCTATGCTCAGGCTAGAGCCTGGATCTCCTCAGTCACCCTCAGACCTAGGCATACCCTCAGCCCTGGTGACCTGTGCCCAGTGGGGACCAACTAACAAAAACCACCACTGCAGACAGGTGTGAGCTGTGAGGAAGTCCCGCAAGACAGAAAGCCTGAAGCCTGCTGAGCCCAGCCTGGGCCAGACCCTCTTGGGGGTGCTGCAGTTTTAGAGAGGAGGGCACCAACGAATCAAACAAGAGCCCTGTTCACAGGCCGCACTGTCTAACACAGGTGCTACTAGCCGCATTTGATAATTTATATTTAAATTCATTAAAATTAAGTACAATGTAAAATTCAGTTCCTTAGTCATAATAGCCACATTTCAAGCGCTCAATAGCCACCTTTGGTTAAAGGCTATTGTGTCAGATAGTGCAGATAAAGAACATTTTCATCAATGCAGAAAAATCTGCCGGACAGCACTGGCCCTAGAGGAAAGTCAGATAAAATGAAAAACAACAATTTCGCCCGCCGGAATGGAGCCAGCTGCCGAGAAGTGTTTCTTGGAGGAGGAAGGTCTTGAGGTTCCAACTCACAGGAGCCCTGCCCACTCCCAGGTCTGGGCCCTCCCTCTTCTCCCCTCCAACCCCAGCCCCAGGCCTGAGCACGCTCTGATTTCTTTCCGGCTGCTTGTGTGTGGCTGTCCTCCACCACCCGGGGTGGAGAATGGGGCCTGTGGGGACCTGCAGAGAGTTGCCCAGGAGCCAGCAGAAGTGGGAGCAGCTGAACCTTCTCAGGCTGCCAGGGCCGTGGCCCACTTACCCGCATCCCTAAGCCTCAGAAAAGGAGGGCTCTGGGGAGCTGCTGGGGCTTGGAAAGTCACAGTGATGGTGCAGGCAGGGGCGGGCGCTGTGTGTTTGTCTCTCGGCATCTTTGATGTGCCTCGGAGTCTTTCATGTCGGAGGCTGTCCTCTGCCAAGGGCCCCATGTGCTGTTTGCCCTTTTCCTTTTATTCCTTTTTTTATTCATTTCATTAAATTGGTTCTGTAGAGGGCAAAAGAAGAGCCCAGCAGACAAGAAATGCTCTCAGGTTATAGGGGAAGAGAAGTGGGGGCGAGAGCTCACTTCTGGCTGGGCGGGTGCAACTGAAAGCAAAGCACTGGCTCATCCACCCACACTTCAAGGCTTCAGCTGCTCACACACTAAGTAAGACCTCTTAGAATCTTTATAGAACCCATGCCTACTTCTTGTGGATGAAGATAAAATCCTTATGTGATCTTAATGAAATCCATGTAGAAGCTTCATAGAATCCTCTTGGATGCCACATAAAAATCCTCACAGAATTCACCATATTGCTCATAGAAGCCTAAATCCCCACTGCCATACGCACAACACACACGCATGACATACACTGCACTCCAGTGGAAATAGCAAATTATCTTGAACCCCATCTCCTTTCCTCAGAGAACAGCCACTTGACAGATCTATTCTGTAGGTGGAGGGACTGGGAACATTGCCCAGGGTGAGGTTGCAATGCAACCTTTTGTGGCCTGACCTGGGCAGGCCTCTGTGAAGGCCCCTTACTCTGCAAACCAGGTCCCTTGGGAAGAGGAGAAGAATTTGCAAAAGGATCCCAGGGCTTCTGGGAAGAGAGGAGAAGCCAACTCCTGTATGAAAATTCATCATGGTTGCCCTGGGTGCTCGATCTGCTGGGACGGAAGCCCCGTGATGCAGCAGGAATTGTTGTTGGTGTTAATGTGTCCCAGCACCTACTCCTGTGCCCGGCACACATGGTAGATCCTCAATAAGCAAATGAATGAAGGTGTGCTAGCAGGAAAGGATCCCCAGGGCCCTAACGAGCACCCACCATAGGACAGGGCAAGCAGCAGGCCACCACGAAGCTGCACCAGGTACTGGGCATTGTTATGGGCTGGGTGGGGACCCAGGCAAACGAGACCTCTCTGCTGAGTGGATGGATGGCGGCCTGGCTAATGCAGGGAGTAAAGGGGTTCTGACAGCAGGCGGGTGAGGTCTGTCTGGCAGGCATCCTGGTGGTTGATGACCAGGAACTGCATGGCCAGTTGGCCCCGGGCATGCAGGCTGAGACAGCTCCAAGGATTATATCCTTGCAGGGCCTGGAAAAGTTTTCTAGTTATTTGTTAGCTTCATGTCAAGCAGAATGGCTTTCTTTCATTCTTCAGCTGTACTCGGCCAGAAGTCCCCAAATTCAACCTTCAGGAGCTTTGCAGGGACTTAGAGACAGGAGTCACTGAGCAAACCTGACTGTGGAGCTCAGATTATAAAGAGGAAAGAAATTCTGCTTCTTCCAGGCACAGAAGGCAGTTGATCCTTAGCGGGAGCCCTGGGCTCCAAGAAGCCCCTGGGGAAGCAGTGGAGCTGACACTCATCTAACAGGCCGAGCTCTGTGTGTCTGTCGTCTGTCTGTGCAGGGATGATGGCACCCACACTCCCAGCAGCTCTCTCTGCACACCATGGTGGAGCCCCAGCTCTGTGCCCTGCCCTGGGCATGGCTGAGAATAGACAGGTGCCCTCCGCATTTGGGAATTAGCAGTTTTAGTCTCTCAAGAGCAAAGTACGCCCCGGATACATGTTTCAAAAAAGAAAGGTAAGAAGGAAGAGACCCCTTTCCCCTGCAAAAAGAAATCAGGCCAGGTTGAGCCACTTCTAGCCCAGAACTGTTTTCATGGCAAACCCTAACATCCTACTTCTGCCAACATTCAAATTCAGGTAACTTAGAGGGACAGCTAAAATCCAAATGAACAAAAAAGCCATATCCAGGTTGCCCACCAGTGCCTCCAGCTTGCACAGGGCCATGCCCCATGCAGCAACATCTCTGAGCATCAGAGAGTGGTGGCAGTCACCAGATTCCTTGGGTGATGCAGCTACCAGCTGGAACCACATCAGGAGGATATTGGAGGAGAAGACAGGAGCAAGTGGTGGGCACACCACAGAGGGCCTTGAGACTTGGGCGGAGTCGAGACTTTGTATTTAGGTGCTGGGAGCCTTTAGAGGCTTTGAGCAGGGGAATGACTTTTCAGACACATGCATTAGAAAGGGTTATATTTAAGGAAAACACATGCTCCATATGCCTGGCACAGTCCTGGTTTGCCTGGACAGTTCCAACTTATGCCTGCTTTTCCTAGTAAACTGATTGCCCATTACACTCTCAAGAGTATCCTGGTTTTACCTACTGGATATTTTATGATATTAAAGAATTATTTTTAATTTTTAAAGTATAATAATATTATAGTTACATTTAAAAAAAAAAAGAATTCTGGGCCAGGCACGATGGCTTATGCCTGTAATCCCGGCACTTTGGGAGGCCAAGGCGTGTGGATCACATGGGGCCAGGAGTTCGAGACCAGCCTGGCCAACATGGCAAAACCCCGTCTCCACTAAAAAATACAAAAATTAGCCAGGCAAGGTGGCACATGCCTGTAATCCCAGCTACTCGGGAGGCTGAGGCACAAGAATTGCTTGAATCCAGGAGGCAGAGGTTGCAGTGAGCCTAAATCATGCTACTGCACTCCAGCCTGGGGGGACAGAGCGAGACTGTCTCAAAAAACAAACAAACAAAAAAAGAGTTCTGTCGGGCATGATAGTGCATGCCTGTATTCTCAGCTACTCTGGAGGCTGAGGCAGGAGGATCACTTGGCCCCAGGAATTCTGGGCTGTAGCGCGTTATGCCAATTGGGTGTACACACTAAGTTTGGCATCAATATGGCGACCTCTTGGGAGCAGGGGACCACCAGTTTGCCTAAAAAGGGGGAACCAACCCAGGTTGGAAACGGAGCCGGTCAGAACTCTTGTGCCAATCAGTAGTGGGATTGCGCCTGCTCTGGGTACATTGCCCAGGCTGGATCCCACTGCTCTCACTGTGTTGCCCAGGCTGGAGTGCAGTGGAATTCAGGCTTCACTCCTTTCAGTGGAGCCACTGCACTCCAGCCTGGGCAACATAGTGAGACCTCATCTAAAAAAAAAAAACAAAAAACAGTTCTTATCTTTTAAAGATAGATAGATTGATTGATAGATAGATCAATCGATCTAGTGCTCACTCTGGCAGCACATATACTAAAATTGGAATGATACAGAGATTAGCATGGCCCCTGCACAAAGGATCACATGCAAATTTGTGAAGCATTCCATATTTTATGATGAATGTTTGAGAGATGAATATGTCAATTACCCTGATTTGATCAGTACACATTATATGCCTCTCAACATCACTATGTACCCCATAAACATGTACAATTACTATGTGCCAACTAAAAAATCTAAAAAATGAAGACATACGCTTAGATATTTATAGATGAATATTGTCTAGAATTTGCTTCAAACCAATCTAGCAAGGGGAAGTGGTGGCCGAATGTGAGTGGGAGTAGAGACGAAATAAAATTGGTTGAGTTGACAATTATGGAGTTTTAGTGGTGGATACATGAGGTGGTGGTGTGTTGATGATACTAGTCTCCCTATGTTTGTGTTTAGTTAACATTTTCTGATATGTAAGTTTAAGAAGAAAGTGTCCCAGAGTGGACAATAAATATGGTCACTCTAGTTCAATGGTTCTCAACCTGGAGAGATTTTGTCCCCAGGGGACAGTTGGCAAGGTATGGTGGCCTTTTGGTCATCACAACTTGGTGGCGGAGGGGGGGATATGCTACTATTACCTATTGGATAAATGCCAAGTATTGGTTTTTATTGCTAAAGGCTGCAATGCTCAGATTGCCCCCCACCCCAACAAAGAATTCTCTGGCTCAAAATGTCAATAGCACCAAGGGTTACACCCCAGGTTAGTGTAATGTCTGTGACTTACTTTAAAGCTCCATTGTATGAACAGAAGAGATAGTGTCTCTATGTGTGAGCTAATTGTAATGTATGCTCTAGGGTTGATGAGTTAACACTTAAAGTAACTCACACCCTAGAAGTGGCTAGCAAAGGCTTCAAATATAGTTATTTAAATCTGCTCCCCAAAATTCATTAACTAGCATAAACAATATCCAGGTAATTTGTTGTTGGTGAAGTGAGTGATGTTCAAGAACTATATTCAGCTGGAAAGATGGTTTAGGCACCTATGTCTCTGCTTGAACAAGACAGAAGAATCCAGCAAACCTGGGTGCCTGACAAGCAGGGACTGGTGCTCTGGGTCTATTCCCATTTCATTCTGAGTCCCCTCTTGGCCTTGACGACTCTGTCTCCTGGCCCAGCCAGAAGCTCGGCTGGTCCCGCTGACAGAACATCGCCATATCTTTGAGCTACTGGACTTCCCATGTGAGTGCTTATCAGCAAGCCTAGAGGTAGAGAAAGGTGATGCCCCAAGTTTAGTGGAGGGGCCAAATGACTATTTTTGTGACTATTTGCTAATAAAAGTATGTCGTTGTGGCAGAATATGGTCTGAAATTTACTTTCATTGTAACATATCTCCTTGTGGCAAGGGTGTGGGCCTGAAGACCCTTTCCCATCTTATCTTTGGGGTTTAGGAGACACTAATGTTTACCCTAAGAACTTGATCATCATTGAACAGCCAAGTTGGCTGAGATCAGGAAGATGATAACGGTAGTGTGTGTGTAGAGAACAAACTGAAGATGAGATTAGAACCTTTGCCTTCTCCATGATCTGTGTATCTTTCTCATGTCTTCCAGGAACACCACATACCTCCCTAACACCACCACCATGTATCATTGAATAGCTAGACTGGCTGAGATAGAAAAAATAATACTGGAGGTGTGTGTAGAGGATAGATGGGAGAGGAGATTACAACTTTTTCACTCCTTTTAGGATCTCTCTAATATCTTCCATACACCTGTCTGGCACCAACACCATGCATCACACGCACTTTTCCTGCCCCACCAGCGTCTCACCTATGTCCCCCGACACCTATATCTGTGGCTTCAACTATGGCCAGGAAGTGTCTCCTTGTGCCCGAGGCCTCTCAGGTGTGTCAGCAAGTAGGTAGGAGAGTCTCATGGCTCAGTCTGGCCTCAGAGGCTGGAATGTGTCATGGTGGCTGTGATTGGTTTCAGCTGCCTGTAGTCCACAGCCGGGCATGTCTTCCATCTCCAGCAGGAGCCAGGCAAGAGCAGGCTGCCTCTGTGTCCTAGAAAGCCAAGGTCCTCCCTGGGCATAGCTGACGCTGCGCACGTAGGGACAGGAGGACTGTCCCTGGAAGGTGAGAGTGGCTGGGAGGGCCACACAGGAGGCCTCATTTTCAGCCACCAACAGCTCAGGAGAAGTGAGTTTCTCAGAGGATATTCTGAGAGCCTGTTTGGATGAGGAGAGGCTGAGAAGGCAGGGGCCACTGGGCATTACAGTGAGGGCAGGTGTGAGTGGGTGTCCCCTAGGAAGGGGAAGGAAGGGTGGCATGCCAGCGAGGCAGGGAGAAGTTCCCGGGGCTGTCATCAGATGACCATTACCAATTTCAGTGTTCTGAGGAGGAACATTGCTGCCCTAGCCAGCTCTCATTGCACATTCATGCACACACAGATACAGAGAGACACACACACGTGCGCACACGCGTGCTCACGCACACACACATACACACACGTACACATACACAGGTCACTGAGCCACATTCCTTGGCCACAAGGTCCTTTCTTTCCCAAGGTCTCAGATTGCGTGTCTGACACGGATTTTTCCTAGCTGCCTATCCCATGGTGTGCAGGCTCCCATGGGGCCCCACAAATGCCCCAGAGGCCCCAGGGCAAGCTGCCCGACACCCGGAACTCTCCCTCAAGGTGCGGCTCTGAAGTAGACCAAAGAGCCCTCGCCAAGGGCTGGGACTCTTCCCAGGAGACGAGTGCTCCTCCGACAGGGCCCTTAACAGGAGTCTGGCACCTGTCTCTATGGCTGTCTCTACTCAGTCCCAGCTAGTAGCAGCACCGTGGGGAAGCCTGGGGTAAGAGGCAGAAGGGGATTCTAGGCCTCTGATCTCTGCAACTCGCCCCCACCTAAACCATGCCAAATATACACACGCTGAAAAAAATCACACAAATCAAACACAGTGTGCCGCTTCAAGGCCCTTTTCCCACCAACTGCCTCCTTGACCCTGCCTGTCTGGGGGTCCTGGAGCCACCTGGGTCTCAGCCATGGTGGTGCTGGGCTTCTGCCGGGCAGTGAACAGCTCATGCTCTCTCCTCATCCATCGAGGGCTCTCTGGGCCCAGGGACTGGGCTGGGCATTGTTGATCTCTGTCTTTCTAACAGCAAACTCAGCCCAGAGCCTCCTCACCACCCCTCTACCCACAGTGCTCAGAGAATGTCAGTGAACATGGGCAGCATTTAATTGCCTGGCAAGTTCAGATTTGCACCTTTGATCTGCAAGCCTGGCAGGGCTGGGTGATGGGAAGAACATGGCATTTGGGTGCAGATGAACCTGGGCTTGAAACCCAGCTTTGTCATTTCTATCTTGTGACCTTCAGTAGCTGCTTCACACGTAACATCCCTCTCCATCCCTCTCCTGAGCCCAGGTGTTCTCATCTGGGAAGTGGGGAAAGTTGTACCTAATTCACAGCAGAACATGTGAGTGTACAACCAGCCCAGCCCGTCATCTGGTGGCCATGAGCTGGGAGCCGTGATGAGTGTTTCAGTCTTGGTTCGGGGCGATGGGCCTAGTAAGCACTTTATATATATCCTAATCCTCCCAACAGTCCTATGAGGAGGGCACTATTATCATCATCAACTCCTTTGTACAGCCCAGGAAACTGAGGCACAGAGAGATTATGAAATTCGGCCAAGTTCACACAGCCCATAAGTGACAGGGCTATGGTTTGACCCAAAGCTTTTGGACTCTGGGGCCCACCCTCATAGCTATGGTACTAAACTGCTGGGTGTTTACCCCAAAACAGGAAACCTACAAAGGGGTGTTCTTTGAGTCTATCAAAAATATTTACTGAGTTCCTCCTAAGGAATTAGGAGAGGTGGTCTCAGCCCCACTGCAGGCTGCTCTCTGTGGGGTCCTGGGGAGCGGCTCCGGCCCTGGGCCTGCTGGCAGAGCTTTGCTGAGACCTGGCAGAGGCAGCCCTGCCCTGTCACGTCTCCCTCCACAGCCCACTTGCCTGCCAGGGTGTTTGAACAATGATTAACCAGCAGCGGGCAGGCCAGTGCAGGCCAGGCTGGGCACGGCGGGTGAGCTCACCCCTTGCACAATGGTGGCCGCACCCGCCGCCCGCACCCACCACCCGACTCAGGGGCTGGCCCAGTGGGGCAGGGCCAGGCGGGCTCCCAGAAGCAAGAGACATGAAGCTGGAGGGAAACAAGGGACAGCCTAGCCAGATGTGCAGATGTGACTACAATCACATTTGATGCCATCCTCCCACTCCAGCCCATGCAGACTCCAGCCCCTGTTGCCAGCCATCCATTGCTGGGATGAGACCAGCCTCAAGGGAGATGTTCCTCAAACAGTGTCACCTAAGCCTGTCCCAAGCTGCTCCTGCCACAGAGCATCAGACTCCAGACTGGACTAGAGGACGCAGGAGGACCCGCCCACCCAGGCCCATGACAGACAGGGAGCCACGCCTCAGGCCCCTCCTCCCCTTTCTCCATGAACCCTCTGAGCCTTGTGGAGCCCGGTCTCTGGCCCTGGCTGCTCGGGGAAGCACAGGCATGTGCCCATACCCACACCAGCCCCTGGGCCCCTCCCTGGGAGCATCCGGGGTCTCAAGCGCCAGAGCCTGCATGGTGGTGGTGGTGGAGAACTCACAGCTCATTCGGAGCCAAATCTGTCTCCAGATTCGCGGACGTTGCCACACCTGTCCACCCCAGCCTCGCCCGAGGCTTCGGCCTTTTATTTGCTTGTTGAGTGGAGCACTAAAGTCCTTTACCCTAAGTAAACCGTGTGTCCATTTCAGATCTGGCTTCACTGCCTCAAAAGCTAGGAGGACTGAAGAAGGTTGGGATGTACATCTGGGGTTCGGGGGACAGCACTATGTGTGGGGGTGGGGAGGGGGAAAGATAATTTTCTGTGAAGGTGGGAGGGGTGGAGGTGCCTTTACCCCACTCCCACTCCCCCTCCTCAGTGTTCCGAAAAGTCTGAACCCTGCTGGTCTGATGAGGGCTCCCAGCTGATCTGAGGGCTCAGTCAGCCTTGCCGGGTGCCCCTCCAAAAGAACCTAGGAGTCTGGGTGCCCAGGTCTGGGCCTGCCGGAGCTCCCTGGCCCCTCCTCACAGCCAAGAGACACTGTGATCCTCAGACTCTCTGAAGGCCCCTCAACAATCAAAAAAGGGTGGGCTCCCGCTTATTGAGAAGTTGTGCCTTTTTTTGTCCTAGATTCACCTGCCCAGCCTCAGGGACCCCAAGTTCTGGGTCATGTGCTTGGGACATCCTCACAGCCCGGCCTGAGAAGACCTGGGTATTCTGGCTCCCATGGTGCCCTCATTCTCTCAGGACACCTGAGGCCCTGGCCCTGAGGCCTGTCATGCGGCCTTCTTGCAGCATCGCTGTTTGTTTCCTGAGCTCCTGTCTGGGCTAAGCCCTGAGGAAGAAGAGAGTAGAGAGGATGCGCTTGCTGCCTCGGGGGCCTGCACCCTGGTTGGGGAGCCAGGCATGGATGCGGGCTGCATGGGCGCCAGCTACCATGATGGCTCCCTAGCAGCACCGTCTGTATACCACACTTTGTTCTGAGCAGGTCACATGTGTTTGTTTGTTTATTTATTTATTTATTTTGAGACAGAGTCTTGCTCCGTTGCCCAGGCTGGAGTGCAATGGTGCAATCTCAGCTCACTGCAACCTCCACCTCCCAGGTTCAAGCGATTCTCATGCATCAACCTCCTGAGTAGCTGGGATTACAGGCGCACGCCACCACGCCAGACTAATTTTTTGTATTTTTGTAGCAAAGGGGTTTTGCCATGTTGGCCAGGCTGGTCTCAAACTCCTGACCCCAGGTGATCTGTCTGCCTCTGCCTGCTGGGATTACAGGCATGAGCCAGTGTGCCTGGCCAATATGTGTTTAATTATTTATTACATGGGCTTCACAAGCCTGTGAAGCACATAGATCATTCCATGACCACCATTTTAAGGATGAGGGAAACGCTAAGGCATAGTGACAGTAAGCAACAGCCTAGGGATGTACAGCTAGTAGGTGGCAGAGCCCAGCTAAGACCCAGGCAGCGGGTCCAGCACCCATGCTGTCAGTCTCTATGAGATGCTACCTTTGGAGCAACATGCATCAGGAAGACAGGGCCAGGGGCAGCTTTCAGAGGGTGTAGACCAGATGGCGGCAGCGCTTGGCCCTGAGGTGTGATGGGATTTTGTGAAACAGAAGCAGCACAGGGCAACGCAGACAGAGGAAGCAGAAGCAGTATCTGCAAGCCTCGGAGGTGTTAATGACAATCACCCGAGGAAGGAGGTGGGGACAGGGGACTCCTGTACTTTCCCCCATACCCTTGCCTTGTTTGAATCTTCCATAATGTGCATATATTCATTAATTACAGGTGAAATTTAAACGCACAAAAAAATACAGTGAAGACTGAGTTGTGTGTCATAAAGCCATACAACTCAGCAGGAGTTGGCAAACCTTTCCTGTAAAGGGTCAGATAGTGAGTATTTGAAAATATTTTCAACTACTCAACTCTGCCACGGCAGCACAAAAGCGGCCATAGACAAAAGGCACACAAGCGGGCGGGGCTGTGTTCTAATAAAACTTTATTTATGGACATTAAAATGCCACATTTTCGCATGTCACAAAATATTCTTCTTTTGAAGTTTTCAATCGTTGAAAATGTAAAAAGCATTTTTCCCTCACAGACCGTACAAAAGCAGGCATGGAGGCAATACTGTGGCCTCTGGGCCATCGTTCGTACACACCTTCCCCAAAAGGCTCAGATAGGCGAGAGAGCAGGGAGGCTCCAGAGTTGGCTGGAGTCTAGTTGGCTGAGTCCAGTCACTCAGGTTGGCTGCAGCCCAGGAGTCCCAGGAGCGAGGAGCAGCAGGGCTGGGCCAAGAGTGGAGAGGGCTGAGGACAAACCCATAGGGCCTCGAAGGCCCCAGGAAGAGATGTTGTCACAGCTGACTCAGCCCCGTGCTCAGACTCCAGTGTTACCAGGTCCTGAATGTGAGACGCAGGCGTCTGCTTCTCCGAGCTTCAGTTACTTCAGCTGTAAAATGGGACACTGGCATTGACCTTGAAGGTCATGATGCATGGAAAGAGAGGGTTAGATCTTGTGAAAGGGGCTGAGGCTGGTGCCTATCCCGCACCAGAGACCCACGGGGGTGACGATGGTGTTTGCTGTTCATTCACACAATTGTTTTGGTTATTCTCAGGATGTTAAGCAGGCTCATGTCCAGGTATGTGTTTTAGAAATGTCTCCCTGGTGCTATGTGACGAATATGTCTGCATGTCTGTATGAACATCCTTCCTTCACCTTCCAGAACCTTCTCTCGGCTGCCCTGTACTAGGAAGACCAACCTGAGCAGACAGCATCCACAGGCTCCCTCACCCTCCTGTGGACAGACAACTCAGCTACTGGGGACCCCCAGAAGGAGATGAGGGGAGGGAGGAGAGCAGGGTTCTCCCTGACTCCCTCCTGCAGGCTGTGTGCAACCTGGATGCATCTTTTTGGAAAAGTCACAGCACTCTCCCAGCTCACCTCAGAGATTCAAGGGGGTCTCCCTGCCCCTTGCCCACATCTTTGTACACTCTTCTCAAATTACCCAAATTTGAATTCGACCTGCCTGATTGATAGAGGGCATAAGACTGGGTAAAGATACCAGCTAGGAGACTATTGCTATCATCTTGATGAAGGAAAATGAAGCAGTAAACCAGGACAGTGGTGATGAGGGTGAAGGAAGAGCTGGAACCAAGACATATGTAGACATTCAACAGGTGGAACCAGGAGCATTCCAGAGAGGGAGGAATCTCCAGGAGCAGTTGCATCTCTGGCTCAGGCAATGGAGGGGATGGAGATTCTGAGAGAGGATACCCAGGGGGAGAGGCTGGTGTTTGGGATGGAAATGATAACTTTGAGGCAGTGCCTGCAAACATCCAGGTGGATAAATGCACATGTATATCCAGCCTTCCTGAAGCTCTGATTTTCTACCATGTTTAGCCAGGATCCATCCAGTTCTCCCAGACAAGCCATGTCAGGAATGGCCTGGGAGCCATGGAGAGGGGTCAGTGAATAGATGGCTGCTGGCCTTGTCCTTCCCCTTCGGATGCAGGAACAAGGCTCTCAGATGCATGAACTCAGCCTAGAGTTCCTGGGTCTCCTGCTGCACCCACAGGAGAGGTCTGGGAGGACTCCATCCCTGGAGGTGCCAGCAGTTAAAGAAAGCCAGAGCTGCCAGCCAAAAAACACCTTTGCCCATCAGCCAGGAAAGCTGAACAGGCTGGAGTGCTTCCATAGGGGAGGCACTGGGCTTAGATCTTCCTTTAGCCATCCATTCCTTGGGGCTTTCAGGGGGCAGGAGGTCAGATCTATGCTTTCCTCGGAGGTGGGCCCTGGTGCTGGGGCGGGACCACAGGTGGCAGAGGGTGGGGGCTTAACTCCTCAGGCCTCACTGCTCATTCCTAGTTGGACTGACTTCTGATTACATTGTTGTTTCAGAAACAAGCACTCGATGGCATATTTCTCAATTGAGTCACTGCTCAGTTTGCCTTCTCCCAGGAAAGCAAACACTCTCTGGCTTCACCTCGGGCCATGGCTGTCATTGACCTTACTTACCTTGAAGGGCTCAGCACTGGGTTCCCAAGGCCCTTTTTAAGATCCAATTTCCCTGGTGCTTTGAGGAGGGTGGGGGACATCAGAAGACCCTCTTGCTGGGAACATCCACTTCCCGATGCCTCCTCCTTTGACGTCGTGAGCCACAGGCCACCAAGCAGGTTCTGCGGCAGCAACTCAGAAGAGCCCTCTGGAGTAGGAGAGCCTGGATCCCGGTGCCCAAGGTGGGCACAGCCTGCAAGCAGCTCTGCTTGGAGAAGTCCCGCTTCCTAGGGCTCATTCCGACTGTGCACATGACACTTTCGGGAGTAGGTCAAGAGCCCCAGGCGTCATTTGAACAGGAAGTTCTCGGGTCACATCAAATGTTCCATGTTGCCAACCCTCCATGTAACCCCTTTTCAGGAAGTCATCGGTCTCACTGGCAGGGTGGGGGAGGGCCTGTCATGAGTCCCGTCTCCAGTGTCCCTCTGTTCAGTGCATTTGGCGTAACCCCCAGCTGTATGCACTGGGCCCCCAGGGCTGCCTCCCCCTACGTCCCCCACAGCAGCCCAGCATGGGGAGAAAACATCCTAAAATCACCAGGGGCTCCAGGGAAAAGCCGAGAGGGGGCACGTGGCTGGTATGAGAGCCAGGAATGCCCATGTGTTCAGGATGGCGGAGGCAATGAGGAAAGAATGGCCCGATCTTCTCTCTGTTCCCTGCCTGTCAGTGTCATTCCCACTGGGTTCTAAATCCCCCTAGCATGTTCACAGGTAGCTCGCTGCACCCAGAGACCCCACCAGGCAGATAAACTTCTTTGTCCCACAGACAGAATTCCTCGACCTAGTCTTGCCTTCTTCCCCCTGCTGTCGTCCTCATCCCACTTCCAGCTGTGCCTGAAGAGAATCTGAGGGTCAGACTGGAGGGCGGGGAAGGAGAGGCCGAGCTGCCCCATTCACAGCGTTCAGGACTGTCTCTGCCCCAGGTTCCCTGACTCCTGGAAGTTTCTGGAGTCCTAGACAGGTCCTCTTGGCACTTTAGGAACCAGCTCAGGGCCTGCCTCTTCCTGGAAGCCCTTCCTGTGCGTGCTGATGGTCTTGGAATCAAAGCGCAGCTGCTGAGGAAGTAACTGGGAAAAGCAAAGGCCAGAACTGCAGGGTTGAGGAGGAGGAGACAGTGAGGAGAAGCCCACAGTTCATCTCCGGGGCTCCTCCAGGTGGCTGGCGGAGCGGCTGAGTGGCCCGAGGACTTCCTTTCCCAGGAGGCTGTGCCACAGACTTGGAGCTGTGGGGTGGGGTGGCGGGTAAGAGGGCAGGCTCTCTCCTGGGCAGCACAAAGGAAGCGTCCAGGGGGCCCAAGACAGCTGTCTCACTGTGCGGTCTGAGCACCCCCAGCCCGGGCATGTGAGCAGAGCTGACTAACTCTTGCAGGAAGTGGCCTCAAGCTGGGAGGGAATGGTTGGAAGGCCGACTGGGAAGCGGGGCTCAGAGGGTGCTCCCCAGCCTGGCCCCTGACTCATGAGAGCACACTGTGCCCTTTGAGGGTGGCCTGCTTTAGCCATCTCTGCGGGTGCTGCAGGGGAACAGGGAAATGAGGAACCAGCATCTGCCCACAGCCTCCCTTCTCCCACAGAGGCAGGCTCCAGGCCTCAGCTCCCACCCTTCCACCAACTCACCTCCCCGCCTCACCTGGTTTTCCTATTTTTTTTGTTCTCCAGGCTTTTCCCATGGGAAAATCCCACCCACCATTCCAGGCCAGCCAGAAAGCCTCTCCCTGACACCTGACCAAGTGTTCCCTGCTGGCTCACAGGTAGCCAAGCCCCAGAGGTCTGATATGTGACTTCCCGGCAGGATGCTGTGATCTCCAAGGGCAGGGTCCCTGGAGGGAGCCGGGGCTGTACAATGTTGGCCCTCAGCAGGGTCTCCAGGCAGGACTGCTTCCTCAGGCCAGTCCATGGTTCCTCCACCCTGGCTCCCACTCCCCATCCCCCCTGGCCTCAGGGAGCTGACAAGGCCAGAGGCCCCTGAATTCCTGCCCGAGGGCTCACCCCTGCCCTCGGTTTCACAGACCACCTTTGTGTAGGTCACTGTTGCTGAGCTCTTTCTAGCCCAGCACAAACCTGGGGCCTGGTCTTAGTGACTGACCCACCGGAGAGCTCCCAGTAACTCCCAGTAACTTCTCTGCCAGTCATCGGCTGCTGCTCCTGTCCCTTTGAGGAACTAACGACTGTTCTGTGAGTCAGTAACTAGGGGCAGAGGGAGGGGTGACAGACTCATTGCAGATATCAGGTGATCACTGCAGATATCATGTGATCGCTGCGGCCTTGGAGCCAGAGGCGTCCCTGTTTCTGCTTCCCCAAGAGGACATTCTCCTCCCATGGGGAAGGCCCCCACTCACTATACATTTGCGGCATCTAACCTAGATGGGCTCGAGAAAGCCACTCCGCACAGCAGAAAGAGCACTGGCTGGGAGCAAGTGAGTCTGGGCTCCCCACGGCTGGCAAGAGACTCCCCTTCTCTGAACCTCAACTTCAAGGGGGTGGCCCTCAGAAACCCTAAGAATGCTCACAGTTTTGTGACCTCTTGAAGTCCATGTACATGAAGCAGCTGCGGGCTCAGCCACATCCTGAAGGATCCCATGAGGATGAGTCCTCGTTAGCATCTGTCTGCCCTGGCTCCTAGAAGAACCTGTGATGCTGTGATGAAGCTTTGAAGTCAGGCAGTCCTGGGTTCAAGTACCGGCTCTGCCTCTTACCAGTACATTTTGCACCTTTCTGAACTTGATTTCCAGATGAGGAGATCTGAGGCCCCAGGAGGGAAGGAAAGCACCCAAGATACCAGGCGGGACCCTGGGCCTGCTGGCCTGCAGCTCTGCACTCCTTCTCCAGAGGGCTTGCCCTAGAAGGAGCCAGGGTGCTGGGAAGGCTGTTCCACTTTCAAGGGCTGAAATGAAGGTGGTTGTGTCTCACAGCCTGGCTGGCAAGGCTAGTTCCTCCACCCTGGAGCATCTGTAGATACACCACAGACACAGTGAGGGGAGCAGACAGGCTGGGACCACCTGGCCCTGGAGGGAAGCCCTGGGAAGGCTGGCTAGGCTGCCTCCTGGGCTGCCTCCTGGGGCTGCAGCCGGTCCTGTGCCTTTCATCTGCAGATACCCGGCCTCCCTCCCCACATGGTGCCCAGAAGGCCTGTGGGAGCTTCCCCTGCTGAAAGCTGCTGTCAGCAGGGGGCCACACCTCCCGTAGCCCTTGAAGTGTGAATATTTCTGCTTTCATAGCACACTCACCCCAGGCCCCAGTCCCTCACATCCCTTTAAGAGATGTCCATTACCTGAAGGATGGGGAATGGAGCGGCCCATGGGTGGAGGAAGGGCAGACAGGGTGTGGAAGCAATAGTTGTGTTTGTACAAATGGAGCCCTCCCCGCCAGCCACTAGAGGACGAGCTCGAGGGTACAGGTGTGTCTGTGCAGATTGGCCACTGCACCTATGCGGTGTCTGCTTGAAGCAGTGTCCTCTTTTCTAATTTCAGTAAAAGCCATGCCCACTCACCAAGCCAGGTGCCTGTCCAGAGGGGATCTTCCCCAAGGGAGCGCTGTGTCTAACATGCACAGAGGTGCTCCCTGTGCCCCTGCCTGCCCTTTGACTGTGCCTGGGGAGAATTTGGGTGGGGAGGAGGGCTCGGAAGGTGCACAACAGGTGGGAACTGAGTTCACAAATAAGCTTCTCCCCAGAACAGAACATCCTTTTTCTAAATCCCAACCCAATTGTTTGGTGACCACTAGCACTTCCAGCCAGGAACCTGAGTCCGCTGCCAGACAGCACAGTGCCCAGGAGCCCCATGACTACCTCCAGGCCAGCCCTGAGCCATCTTGAGAAGCCAGAGAGCAATGCTGCCTGGATGAGGCAGGTCCTGCCTCTTCAGTGCCTCCCTCCAGGGAAGGGTGGGGCAGAGGTCCTGGAGCCCAGCCCCCTCCCACAGCCACCCCAACTCTCCAGGCTTCAAAGGCCCACAGGTCATTTCTGGCCCGGAGGCCAGCCCGGACCAGGCCAAGCCCCAGTGGGCTGTGAATCCACCAAGTCTCTTTTTTGGGATCTCACATGCTCCATCTGCAATATGTCTTGGGCAGGAAGGATGAAGGCTGAGTTCCACCACTCCAGTGGGTGGATCTCAGCCTCCACCCTTCCTGTATTCTTATAATCAACACCCCCCTCACTACAATCCTGTATGTGTGTATGTACTTGCACATGCACACGTACACACACACACACACACACACACGATTCTGCGGGGAAGACGTGGGAGACCGAGGACCTAGCCTAGTCGTGACTCTGATGCACTGTGACCTGGCCTGGAAGGTTCCATAGAGTAAGCATCAGTACATGAGGCAGGCGCCGTGGCTCAGGGATCCCTATGGCCCCTGTGCGGTGCTTCTATGGCTTCCTTAGCCCCTCTTTTTTCCGCTCCGCCTTCTCCCAGGGCCAGGCGCAGGGAGCTGGGTGAAACAAGAGTTCATGAATGAACAAATGAATGGATGGAGTGGAGTCCCTCTCCACCCTCACTTCCGATCCCCTAATCCCCTTCCCATCCCCATCTCTAGGCCTGGCTCGGGGGCAGAGCCCCAGGTGTTTTTCATTAAGGGTTTTACTGGGATTCTCAGGCTCTAGCTGAGGAAGGCTGAAAGAGCCACCTAATCCTCTGCCCCACCCCCAGGCTGAGCCCGACACAGTGGGAGTCAGGTTACACAGTGGGAGGCAGGGGCCTATCCTCTCCCACTACCCAGACCCTTCTTGGGCAGCCTCTGGCCGTCTCCAGGAGGTCACCTAGGGCCCAGCTCGTCTCCAAGCCCATTCCCCTCCACCTGTTCTTTATACTGCAACAGTCAGGACATCCTTCTAAGGAACAAAGCTAATTATCCCATGCCCTTACTTTAGAATCCACCCAGGCTGCCTCCTTCCTTTTTTTTTTTTTTTTAACAACTGGCTCTGATTTGTGGCACTTGCCAATGTCCATGGTACAAATATTTCCATCATGGCCAATTTCAAACTACCTTGTGAGGTCACTGAACTCATGAGCACAGTCAGCTCTCAAAAGCCAGTAGAGCCGGCTCCCTCACCATCAGCCACAACCCTGTGCCCCTGACCTAGAAAACCAGCCCTCCTTTACTGGCTCCAGTTGTCCCTCCAGCCTCACTTCTCACTGCTTTTCCACCCCCAATACAGATACTGCACACTGGGGTGGGGGGATCTTGTGGGTCCCTGGGTGCACCTGGCACTTTCCAAGAACACTTCTCTCCTCCTCTTTTGCCGGGCCAGCTCGTTTGACAAGACCTCATTCACATGCCTCCTCCTCCAGGCAGTCTTCTCTAAGTCCTCAAGCTGGATGGGGTGTCCTTCATCTGTTTCTACAGCACTGCCCTTGGACATCTGTATTGTTTAATAATGCATGTGTGTCCTTGCCACAAAACCGTGGGCTCTTCAAAGGCCAGGGCTGTGCTCCTGATATCTCTGGGTCCCCAGGCCCTGACCCAGAGGAGGCCTCAGTAACTGTGTTGAAGGAGTGAGACGCACGTAGGGACGTGCTCAGGGCACAGGGCTCCAAGGGAAGAGCCACTTCGGAGGGCTGGAGCTATTCTCTTGGGCTTCCCCAGCAAAGGCCAGCGCCGCCTATGTAGCCAGCTTCCTGGGAGACAGAGGGCACTGCCCATGCTCCTCCCACCATGGGAGAAGGGAATTGCTCCCCAACTTCTGGATCTGACATATTCCAAGTGACATCCCCCCACCTGCCCACTGGCTCATAGGGACACGGAGCTGCCTGGGGCTGGGTAGAAATGAGCTGCCATCTGTCCCCTGGTTGTTTGTCTTCTCATGACCATGGTTCCCTGCAGGATACATCATTAGTAACTGTGGTGCCAGCACCCAGGCGTGTCAGGGAGGCCACCCTTTCCCATGCCTGGGAACCGCTTCGGGGCTTGCTGGGGCAGCTCCAGCCTGGAAGAGCCTCTCCCACGCCTGTCCAGGTGTCCTCTGGGACAGAATGGATGAACAGGAAGCAACCGTGGCACAGGAGCGGCACAGACCTGGGTCTGCACGTCTGCTTGGCCACTCAGGAGCTGCATGAAGAATCAGTTTGGATCTCAATTTCCTCATTTGCGAAAAGAGGGTGGGGATTCCAGCCTGTCAGGGATTTTGCGACCATCAGAGTCATAGCCACTATTCATGCAATGCTTGCAAAGTGCCCAAACCAAAATGCTGAAGAGTTTACTCCCATTACTTTATTTAATGCCCCTAGGAGATGAGTTCATTTCACAGATGACAGAGCTGAGGTTCTAAGGAGTTTATGGTCACACAGCCAGTAAAGTGGGGTCTAACCCCAAAGCCCCTGCTCCTGCCACTATATTACTCTGTGTCCCTGAAATCGGAGGGTAGGCATGGATAGAGCCTGGCACATTCTAGGCATATTGGAAATGGTAGTCCTTATTCATAATTAACCAGAATCTTGGTGCCTGACATTTAGTGGCACGCTGCGTTTTCTTAAATCTCTTTCCAAGTCTCATCTGTGCCTGAAGGTGGGCACCGGCCCTCCTGCTTTCCCTATAAGGAAATGGAGGGGTAAGGAGATGCAACAGTTTCACGCAGTCCCTCAGCCAGGGCGGGCAGAGACTGCTGAGCGCCAGCTCTGGGCTCCCGGCCTGGCCTCTGGCTCCTGGGAGAAATTCCCCTTGTCTGGGGTGCAGGCAAGGAGGGAGTTGAACAGACAGGGCTGGGAAGAAGGGCTGCCTGTCAGGCTCGGACGCATAGTGTGTGAGTAGCAAGGCCAGCCCCCTCAAGCTGTCTCCACTTCAGTCTCCACCAGGGGCCACAAAATCATATCCAGCTAGTCCCGAAGATCCAGGCCTGCCGCCTTGAGCAAACCCTTATCCTCTCCAGACCTGTTTCCTCGCCTGTGAAACAGAATAACTCCTGCAGCACCACACAGCTCGAGTTTGTGTGAGAATACGATGAGGGAAGGATGGTGAAGACCCCTGAGCACTGTGGGTGTGAGCGCTCTCTGGGGAGGGGCCGGCCCTGGCTGGTCAGCCTTGTGTGGCACTGTACTGGAGAGGCACATCTGAGGGACAGCTAAGCTCCCCCTGGCGGGCAGGGATTGTGCCCCATTTCATGCACAAAGCATGCTTAAGTTCCCCCTGCGAGAAGCCCTGCTGTGTGTCTGGATTCTTAGGCCTGAAAGGCCTTACCTTTCACATCAAGCGACCAGTCTTTTCTAATGAGTTCAAGTGGTAGCACATCTGATAGGGCAAAACAGCCTCATTTACAAAGAGAAAAATAAATAAAAATGTTATATAGCCTTGAGAATAAGGCCAGACAGTCAGCCCAAGGTCCCTGGAGCAACACATAGAGAAAAAGAGTTGGTAAAAGTCTTTCTTCTTCTGTGGACTCTGTCCGGGCAGCCATGAGCTGGAACTCAGCCCAGCCCTCGTGCCACGGGATATTTTCCACCCTCAGAAGTAGCTGGGCTGGACCCAGAGGGGAGGCCAGGCTGCTCCTGCACTGGGGACCCAGGGGCCCAGTGTGGACCCTCTTCCTTGGCCGTCAGGCTGCAGGGAGCACCTATCAGGAGGATGGGGCTGGAGTCTGCATCCTTGAGGCCCCCCGGCCTGGTTCTCACCAGACCTGGTCACCCTGGCCTGGCAGAATCCTGGGAAGTACGAGAAGTCATCTCATCTGGGGCCACATCTGATGGGTGAGGGGAAGCTGAGGATCAGAAGGAGGCAGCCCTGGTTAACGGATGTCACCCTGGGGCTCCACACCGTCTCAGTCTGTGGCCCTGTCACTGGTCCAACAACAACATCTATCAGGTGCTGAGAGGTGGCAGTAGCCCATGTGCGGCCATGTCATACCTCACCCAGGCTTGCAACAGACACCCTGTGCACTAGTCACGAGGCTGGAAAATGGCAGGACCAGGATTTTGAGCCCAGACATCTGGCTACAGAGTTTTTCTCTGGACCACCATGCCCTCCCACCTCCCCCATGAGTTCTGAAGGGGGACCATGTCTCCTGCTCCCCAATGCCCACTTTCCCTTTAAGGGCTAACACGGGGGTTAAAAGCCCCACAGAGGGAAGCTGTTCGCCCTTAGAGAAGGTATCCCAGCTGATGGCCCAGGCTCTGTCCTCGAAAGGGCTCTGCAGATTTGGGATCGAAGATGCTGCCCTGGACTGGGCTCAGGGCCTCTCGCCTGTAATCCCTATTTGGGAGGCTATTTGGGAGGCTAAGTCAGGATGATTGCTTGAGGCCAGGAGTTTGAGGCCAGCCTGGGCAACATAGACCCTGTCTCTAATTTAAAGAAGAAAGATGCTGCGCCGGAAAGGTCTTTCTGAGGTCCAGATTGCCCACAGGGGGCTCTGAGGCAGCCCAGGGGAACCCCAGCAGGCTTGCCCTGAGGCTCTGAGGGCAGCCAGCCCATCTGCTGCCTCCTGGGTCTGCAGGTCTCAGGACTTTTCAGCCTTAAATCTAGTCCAGACCTAAACTGTCCACGTGGCTGTGCAGGCTTTGCTGAGGTCAAGGAGCAAGCTGGGGGCTGAAATCCTGCTGTCCAGGTGCAAGGCTCACAGGCCTGGGGGACAGGGTGACTTTCTCCTACTGGCCAGAGGTGCTGTCTGCTAACTGAGCTGCACCCCACCCGAATGGGGATTTGCAGAGGCACCATGTGGACTGGGGCTAGGCCTGCCCAAGAAAAGGCCAGACAGTCAGCCCAAGGTCCCTGGAGCTAGTGTCCTCCTGCCCTCTGGCCCTGGGCCTGTTCACCTCTGCAGGTTCTCCAAGGTTACTTCGCAGCCTCAGGCAAACAGACCATGCTTTCTGGATTCTAAATCAAGATTCATAGGTGGACAAAGGAAGTGTTTCGATTTATGAATCTAGAGATAAGGAAATGCTCACAGTTGAAGAGCACTTGCATTTTTCTAGTTTTGAGTGGTTACAAAGTCATCATTTCCACACCACGGAACACTACTCAGCAATGAAAAGGAACACACTCCTGAAGCACACAGCTTGGATGGAGCTCAGATGCAGTCTCCTAAACGAAAGAAGCCAGACTCAAAAGGCTTCCTACTGTATGATTCCACTCATAGGACATCTGGAAAAGGCAACACTTACAGGGACAGAAAACCAATGAGTGGCTGCCAGGAGCCAGGGGTGGGGAAGGAGTTGACTACAAAGGGTGCAGGGAAGTTTTGGGGATGAGTAAACTGTTCCAGATCCTAACTGTAGTGGTGGTTATACAATTGCATGCATTTGAAAAAAGACTGTATAACAATAAGGGCAAATTTTACTGTGTGTAAAATATACCTTAGTTTTTTTTTTTTTAAGAAAGGAAAAAATTACATTTTCTTTTTAACATTACATGCCCCCTTTTTTCCACTCATTTTGGCTGTAACATAAATTTGAATTATTAAAATATTTCAGACCGGGCGCAGTGGCTCACACCTGTAATCCCAGCACTTCGGGAGGCCGAGGCAGGCGCATCACCTAAGATCAGGAGTTTGAGACCAGCCTAGCCAACATGGTAAAACCCCATCTCTACTAAAAATACAAAAAAATTAGCTGGGCATGGTGGTGCATGCCTGTAATCCCAGCTACTACTCGGGAGGCTGAGGCAGGAGAATTGCTGGAACCCAGGAGGCGGAGGTTGCAGTGAGCCGAGATTGCGCCATTGCACTCCAGCCTGGGCAACGAGAGCAAAACTGTGTCTCACGAAAAAAAAAAAGAAAGAAAAGAAAAGAAAAGTATTTCACCTAGTGGATATCTGTGAAGCACTCCCTGTAAATCTATGTGCTCTGCACGGAGCAGCGAGCTGGACCCAGAAGGCCCTCCTCACACCTCCTGACCCTGTGCACTCAGGCCCTATACGCCCCTGTTTCCCTTCCCGGGGAATCTGTATGGCTTCTTGCCTAACAGTGACCCACGTGGCTCAGCCAGTTACTATGTGGTAAAATACTGGAATTTCTGAGATGTTTCCATGGCTTATGGGACCATAATATTTGAAGTGGGAACCTGGGAACCAGCCTCCTCATCACCCCATCCCTTCTCCATCAGGGAAGAGGAGAAGCAGCGCAAGCTGTCAGGCCATGGTCCAGCGGGGACTCTGGTCTGCTGTGTGACTTATCGAGAATCCTGTGTCAAGATAATCTTAGCTGATGTGCCCCTGCCGCGGGAGGGCCATTGGCAATGTTTTGCTTTATTTTTTTTCATTGAACCAAAGTTATCCGGACTATTGTGCATAAAATCAACCCACTGGTTGTTCCTCTCAGTCCTCTTTCCTGAGTATCTTCAGAATCCAGTCACGGCTCCCTTCCTGCGGCCACCTCTTGTTCCAGGCCACGGCCCCTCTCACAGGGACCCTGCACAGGCCTCCCAGCTGACTGGCCCCCAAGCCCCTCCCACAGCAGCCAGCAGGATCATTTGGAGACCAAAGCCTGCCATGCTCCTCCCTCAAAGTCATGAGTACATGAGGAACCCACACCCATTAGCAAGAAAAAGAACAAAAACCCCTTAGGAAGAAGGGCCAGAAAACAGGACAATGCAATTCCTCTAAGCAGAAAGCAATACAAATGGCAAAAACATATGAAATGGGGCTCACGCCTGTCATCCCAACACTTTGGGAGGCCGAGGCAGGCGGATCACCTGAGGTCAGGAGTTCGAGACCAGCAAGGCCAACATGGCGAAACCCCATCTCTACTAAAACGACAAAAACTAGCTGGGCATCGTGGTGTGCACCTGTGGTCCCAGCTACTTGGGAGGCTGAGGCAAGAGTATTGTTTGAACCCAGGAGATGGAGGTTGCAGTGAGCTGAGATCTTGCCACTGCCCTCCAGGCTGGGCAACAGAGCAAGACTCTGTCTCAAAGCAAAACAAAACAAAACAAAACATCTGAAATGATTCCTAACCTTATTTGCAATTAAATTAAATAAAAGAAAATCAAAACAACCATGTGATACCATCTCTAACCCCCACTCCAGCAGAACGAAGAAAATGGAACCATTTGAAGGTGTGGTCTCTGAGACTCCCACCTGAAGTTTGGACACAGGGACAGGTGTGGCCAATGGGTGACGTTTTTGGAGGGCAATTGCAAAGAACACTCCTTTCCATCCAGAGTCCACTGCTAGAAAAGCCTCTGAGGTGTTTACTGATAATGGCTTCCTAAAATACCCACGCGAGACCTTCAGTCCTGCACTGTGTACAACAGCAGAAGCCTGGAAATAAGGTGCTCACCAATAGGGAAGAATTGGGTCAGTTACAGTCCGTCCGCACAACTGAATGCTCCGCAGTCATTATATGAATGGGGTAGAACTGTCTGCACGTACCGAAATGAAACTGGGTCAGAAAAAGGAGCTGTATGTCCCCGTGGATAGACCCACCCCTTTGGTGTAACTTTTTAAAAGCGTAGACTTATCCTCACAGGTATGTGCACGGAAAAAATTTCTGGAAACAGCAACCAAAAACCTATTAAATGAAATTGCCTTTGGCAAGAGACAGGTGAGGAGAAGGAGGATTTCACTTTTCATTTTGGACTTTTCTGTTCTGCTTGGATTTCTAATCATGCGCACATGCATATTTTAATTTTTTAAAGGTCATAAGGAAATATCTAGGTGGTGAGATTTGAGGTCAATTTAATTTTCTTTTTGTACTTTTCTATTTAAAAAAGAATCAAAATCAATGTGTTTAAATGTTTCAAAACAAATAAAAACCTCCACTGCTCTGGGGATAAAGTCCACAGTCCTGAGCATTACACCCAGGAGGGAGGTTCTTCCGGCTTCACCTCCAACTTCCTCGTGCTGAACTCCTGGCCCCAACCCCAGCCAACCCCATCAACTCTCTACAGTACAAAGCTCTGTGCCGTCTTACCTCTGGGCCTTTGCCTATGCTGTTCCATCTGCCTGGAATGCTCCTTCCCCTCTGGGTCATCCCTTCATTTCACCTTATGTTTCCTTTGGCTTGATACTAGGTGCCTGCCAAGTGCTTGGTGGTATGGGCCTGCCTGATGGCTCCCCCTGGCCTCACCTCCATACCCTCAATGCTCCTACTACGCTGCCAGCCTCCCTCACTACCTCGCAACAGCCTTGAAGGTAAGGACGGGGCCTGGGTCACTGGCAATGTCCAGGGCCTGGCACTGTGCCTGGCACATAGTAGGTTTCATAAACATTTGTTGACGGAACTGACAGATGACTGACTGAATGAATGAATAAACAGTGGCACCCCAGGCTTATCCTTAAGCAGGCCTGTCTGTGGGGTGAGGTTCCTGGCCAGGCCCCAGACGCCGGGCCTGGGCACCTGCGGAGGCAACCTGGAGGGGCAGACACAGCCGCCGGCAGCAGAGCCGCCCGCTTGACTCCAAGGTGGCTTTTATTTCCTCTTATTTGGGTGCCAAGTCCCTGAACAAATATTTTCCTGGAGTGGAAGAACGGCTTAGATCCCAGCCTTAAGTGCTGGAAACACCGGCTGGGTAGGGCAGGTTCCAGGAACCAGAGGAAGCTAGGGCCTGGCTGCAGCTGGGGGAGGGGGTCCCAAGGGCTGCCCTCCAGGCAGTGCCCACCCTCCCGCTGTCTGAAGAGGGGGCCCGCTCCGCCTTCCCCATCAGGCTCAGGGAAGCCGCCACTCGCTTGCTCTGCTCGGCACACAGCTGTGAGAGGCTTTTGCCCTGGGCCTCTCTGCCCATAAATCAGAATCCTCTGGGATTCTGAAGAAAACGTACACCATGTGGGCCTCCCTCATTTTTGCTGAAAAAGCTGCAGTGAGATTTAAAGGAACTAATTAGAATCTCAGAAGCCCTTTTATAAGCGTTTTTCTTCCCTTTAACTTTCTTATTGAGGAATAACATACGCAGAGTGCACTCGTCTAAGTGTATAGCTTGATGATTTATTTACATATATGTTCACCCTTCTAATCACCACCGACATCAAGCCAGAGAACATTTCCGCACCCCAGAAGGTTTTTTGTGTCCATGCCTAGTCAATACCACACCCTCAGCCCGAGGAACGCACTGGCTTCTATTATCATCAATTAGTTTTGCCTGTTCCTGAACTGCCTACAAATGGAATCATGCAATGTAGGCTTTGTTGTGTCTGGCTTCTTGTGCTTAATATATATGCCCATGATGTTCATCTCTGTTGTACCCGTGTCCGTAGCTTGTCCTTTTTTGTTGCTGAGTAGTATTTCACTGTGTGAATACACCACAATTCATTTATCTATTCTCACGGTGAAGGACATTTGGGCAGTTTCTGTTTGAGCTCTGATGAATAAAGCTGTTACATGCATTCTTATACACACCATTCAGCAGATATATGCTCTCATTCTGCTTGGATCATAGGGTAGGTATATGTTTAGTGTTAGTAAGTATTTCCAAGTGAGTTTCCAAAGAGCTCCTATCAATTCTCACTCCCTCCGACAACCTAGGGACATCTCCCCACAACACGACGTTGCCCATCCCTAAAAGCAGCCTTTCTGGTGGTGGGAGGTGGGTGTGGTGGTGACTTGCACTGTTAAACATCTTCTAAATGTTGCTTGACTTTCAGAGCAGGGTAGCAGTACCAGCCAGCCTCAATGAGCACCCCAAAAGCAGAGCCCCCCTACTCGCAGTGAGCCCCTGAATGCCATGCCTCCTGCCAGGCTGCACAAGGAAACATCTGCCCTCCAGGAGCACCCAGGGTGGCAGGAAGCCAGAAAGATACCTGCTGTCATGTGGCAGGAGGTGCCCGAGAGGCATGACCTGAAGTTATGAGAACACAAAGGACTCAAGTGCCTCCCCCAGGCTTGAAGGAGAGCAGGTGTGGGGCGGACCTGCTGAGGACCTGCACTGGGGCAAATCCATCCTTGCACATGTGCACGCCACGAGTGGGCGCGGCTCATGTACTGGGGAGGCGCAGCGGTGTTGGGAGAGGGAGGAAGGGAGAAAGCCAGGGGAGGGCTGGTCCCATGGCCAGGCAGAGTCTGCAGAATGGGGGCCTCCAGCTCCAACAGCTTTAGGGCCTGTGGGCCCAAAGCAGTTTCTAAGCCCCTCTAGGCTCCTCACTCATTCAGCTCCAGGTGCCAGGGGCTCACCACCTCCTGAGGCAGCCCAGCCTCCTTTCTCTTCTGCCAAGCTGGAGAGAAGGGGCAGGGGAAGAGGGTAATTGGAGTGAGGGAGAGGGCGCCTCAGCGGAGGGAGCGTGGTCCTGGTCCCGGGGCTCCTCTGCACAGTCGGTACCTGCAGACCCATTTAAAAAACCCTTTCTCCCAGATGCTGTGGGGGGCCCGTGCACCAGCAGTGCCTTACCTGGGAGGGAGCCTGAGATGGCCCACCTCAAGGCCCAGCTCTGGGACTACTGTCCCTTCCACCCTAGATGGCCCACTCAGAGCACAGCCTCATCCCCAGGCTCCCCTGTAGGAGAGCAAGGTGAGGCAGGGGCACGCCGCCCAGGTGCAGCCAGTTTTGCCTCTTACCAGCCCCTCCTCCCCACCCATCCTACAAAGTCATCAATCCTCACCTCTGCTCCATGGCCAGGCCTCAGGCCCCCAGCCCTCTGCACCTTCATCTTTCCTGCAGCCCCTCAGAGGCACCCTCTCCCTTGTGGGCAGCCCTGCCGCTCCGCATTCCAGCCCCTCCCTCCTGCACCTGCCGGCACTTCACATCCTCTACTGACATCCCTTCCCCGTGTGAGAGACTGACTTGAATTTGTCCTTCCAGACCCAGTTCAGCCACCCTCTGGCACCTCCATGACCCAGACGCTGGGCAGGTTAGGTGCCCTGTTGCCCCACAGCCCACACAGTTCTCTGTCATTGATACCACTCTGTCATTTGTCTGCTCCCTCTGGCCACAACCTCCCTGAGAGCAGAGAGCAGAATAGAAGGCAGGGTCTTTATTCTGGCTATGAAAACATATCCCAAGCAAAACCCCTGAGGCAAGCGAGGCAAAAAAATGCTATTTAAAACAGAAGCTGGCTGCACATTGAGAGTGCAGCACGATCTGAGAGAAGATGGCTCGTGCGTTTAGAAAATAACTTGGGAGAGGTCTTAGTAGAAGATCCAGTGAGTCGCCCATGCAATGTACACACACACTCTCCCCCACACCCAGGCCAGACTGTGGGCATGATGTAAAGGGAACGGAAAAAGGAAATAGTGCCCACTGCTCCCCTCCCAGGCAGGGCAAGTGGGAAAGTGGAGAGATGGGGATTAGGCTTTGCGACACAGGACAGCAGGCTGAGGCCCAAGGGGAGGTGGGCAGTCACTGCTTGAGGAAGGGGTGCCCAAGGATGACATTTAAACACCTCCACCTTTTTTACTGTTAGTCTCAAACATGCGGCAGTCTGTTTGATGGCACAGCCCTGCCCTGGGGGTGCCCTGGGGTGGGGGACTCAGAATGGAAGCACAGAGTTGCGAGAGGGCATTAAGAACAAGCAGGGCCAAGAGGTGGGACGGGGTGCAGTTTGATTTGGATATATGGGGACAGGCAGCCCAGGGAGCTGGGGTCTTGGAACCTTGCAGGTCCCATGTGGAGGGTTATTAATATGTTATTAATAAAAGTATTACTATCTGATGGCCAATTCTACAAGTGGGCCCTCCCTGTCCAGTCCAAGAACTGGCAGGAGATAGGCACTGGTATTTTCAGTGTTTGTTGAATGAATAAATGACCTGGAAAACTTTATCTCGGCCTCCAAACCCTTTGGAACACAATGTGTCAGGAAGAATAGAATTCTCCATCCTGCAAAGCCACCTGGAGCCAGCAGTCCCTGCTCCATCAGCAGGTGCAGGGGCGGGGAAGAAACGGTCCCTCCTGCTCTGCAGGGCCCAGGCCATTCCTGGGGTCTGGGGTCTGGGGTCTAGGGTCAGGGGGTGACCTGCACCAGGGACAGAGTGGGCCAGCAGCCTGGACAAGACTGGAAAGCCAGCTATAATAGATGCTCTAGGACACTAAGGACCCCTGCGGTGCAGTGTGCTGCCTCAACCTCCAGGTCTTTCACTGTCATTTTTCCCTACTAGGCACATGGTTTTTTTAGACCTCTGGCACTTAAAGACTGTTGCTAGTGAGTGTACAGAAATCACAGTGAGCAAAGAATAAATAGCAAGCTTTGAGAATCAGTAGGGAGCCCATCATGTCCTTGAGGAAGGGAATGATCCAGTGGAGCCTTAAGGAACAAGGAGTGCTGGGCAGGAGGGCCAAGAGCCCCGGGAGGAGGAAGGCGAGATGCTGAATGCCTGCACAGGGGTTTGGGGGAGGAGGGCAGAGATGGACTCTGTCTTCCACGACAGGAGGGACCAGCATGAATTCTGCTGTTCTGTACCAAGCCAGAGCATTGCCCAGAACCAGGCTCCCACCCCTAGAAGGTGACACGGCTGGACATCGCCAGGCCAAGAAGAGACTCAACCACCACCACAGCAGCTGTTGCCCGAAATGACAAGTACCGTTTATTGTCGTTACACAAATGAACCCAGCCTCTGGCTTGGGCACCGTCCCACGGACCAGCAGATGAGCATGGTCAGCCGACCCCTTTCCCCACCCCCGAGTCATGTGCAGTCATACACTCCAGGCAGAAAGTCGCAGTATCGAATACCGGACACAGGTTCCCTTGGCTTGGTGGTGCATCTCTGATCCACAGACTGGCCCACCTCTCGGAGTGGCCAACGGAGTCGCTGAAACGTTGTCAAATAAGCAAGTAAGTGCAGGAGCCCTGGGCTGGGGGCCTCTGGCCTCTGCAGCCGGGTGGGAGGAGGATGTCCAAGGTGTCTGCGGGGTAGGCCTCGGCTCCACACCTCCGCTGTGACCACAGCCTCAGGTCAAGCTGTGCTGGGGCCATCCACCTTCCTTTGCCATTTAGAAGATGGGGCTTGGAGCTTGGCAACACAGAAATTGACATCAGCCTTATAAAACCTTGGCTGAACCTACCGACCTCCAGGAGAATTTCAGCCAAAACAAAAAAGCAAATACACAGAGGGACCCTGGAACCAGAATCCCTCCCCATGGGAAAGACGAAGGCACAGAGATTCGAGCCAAGTTTCCCAACATGTTGGTGTTTGCAGAAAAGTCCGGTCACGTCACACACAGCACAGAGGCAAGAAGCGAAGGCAGTGGCATTCACAGGACTACTTTATATTAAAGTTTATTACATTTGGAAAATCTACTGTACAGGGAAAAACCCATTGGATTAAGTAGAGTTTTGCCAAAAGCAAAAGACTATCACTCTTTGGAAAATATTCCTGATTCCAGCCCAGGGCCCAGGGTGGGGCCACAGGAGCTAACGGAGAACCTGGCCTTGGATGGAGGCGCTCAGAGCCAGCTCTGCCCAAGACACCCCTCGTCAATTTCCAGGAGGAAGCAGCCCCTGGAGACGGCGCCACAGGCAGGACGGGCGTGGTCTGCAGGAGGATCTCCAGGCCCCTGCCGCCCTCCCTACAGTCCTCTCTGTCTGAAGGCTGAGTCCCAGCATTCACTTCTCACACGGGCTTCTCCAACGTGGCAGCGGCCCAGGCCTCAGCATGGCCCTGAGCGCATGGACACAGGCACGACTGCTTGAAAGAGGCGGCGGCCCCACGGCAGCCTGGACTGGCCAGCCTGCCAACAGACCACCAGAAACGGGGCCACCAGACAGATAGTCCATACCCTGTTGCACACATGAGCGACAAACTCAAGAGACAACACACAAACTAAGCCTACATTTTGGCTTCCAGATTTGGTTCTCCTAGTTTAAAAAAAAAAAAAAAAAGTCTTCTTAACCCTGATGCTGTCTCCCGACCATAGATTAGGGAAGCAAGATGGGGGGATACCGAATCAACTTACTTAACTTACCTCAGAAGTAACAAGGTCTACTGGGCTATGAACAAAGAACTAGAGGAAACATGTGCAAAAACAAGTCGATATCTAGATTAGACCTCCCCACGAAACAAAGTGGACTCCTGTCCCCTGCCACTCAGCGGCCACCCCCCCAAGATGCTTGGTCCTACCAGTAAGTGCTACAGGTGTGTGAGCCCCAAGCCCCACCCGCAGGATCTTCCAGCCACATGAGGCCATTTAGGTCCAAAGCAGTCGGATCCCCCTCCCCTCCAGAGCTGGACCTGGGGAGAGGCTGCTTCAGTTTGGAGAAACCGAGTCAGAATGGTGCGATGCCAGGTGCTGGCTGTGGTGGAAAGGTCCTATGCGAGAAACCCCTGGTGCCCTAAGTCTCCAGGCAGAAGTCAGAGAAGCAGAGTGGAGCTCCCAGCACACCCCACGACTCCGTGGGCAGGAGCGACCAGAGGGGCTGGAATGCTGGGGAGGTGGCCTGGTGGCAGGGGAGGCCAGGGCCTGCAGTTCTTCAAGGAAGAGGCAAGTGGGGGCCTAGTGAGTGGCAGGGCGGAGGGGGCGCATGGCTCCCGCGTCAGGCATAGAATTCCTCCTGTTTGGTGGGCTTCTGGTAGGCCCCGCCGTTGGCTTGTTTCGGCTCCTCCAAGGAGTAGCTGCCTTCGTCCTTCTTCTTCATGCGGTACAGCATGAAACCCACCAGGCACACAGCAAAGATGAGCCCCACGAGGCCTCCGGCAATGACCCCTAGGGCAGGTAGACGGGGCCAGCTCAGCTCAGCGGCTCCTTGGGCTCTGCTGCAGACCCTCCCCAAAGCAGTGGCCTTGGCTGTGGTCAGCCCCACCCTGACCCCACAGCAGCAATTCACCCCAAACTACCCCCCTGAAAGAAAACTCACCTCCCAGCACCTCTTTCCTGTCCAGGAGGCCCTGTGAGGCCCCCGTGGCCCCCTGATCCACTGGGGACTGGTTCCGGCGGTCAGGCTCCACGGCCACTACAGCCGTATTCTCCCCCGAGGTTTCAAAGGTGAAGTCCTGTGGGAGGGCAGGGGCAGATTGGGTTGGCCAGGTCACCGCCAGCAGCAGCAACCAGCTCCACTACAAGACCCAGAAGCAGCTCCTGCCTCCCTGATCTTTGCCACCACCCACTCAGATGCACCCAAACCAGGATCGCACAGGGCCCGAAAGCCAGGCCTTCTTGCCACATCAACTCCGGACCCTGGCTGGACCATGGCATGGATATCACAAAAAGTGATACAAAGCACACATTTTTGTATGGAAATAAGCAGACTTATTTTAGTGTAAAGCGTAAAATTCCCACGAAGCTATAAAATAAAAAATTGGACTTGGTATAACGTTCACTCTTGCAGCAGGGGCTGCAAGTTTGGATTGTGAGTTTGGGGAGCCCTCTCTTGGGTGATCTTTAAGGGTGCTTCTGCTCTGATCTCATAGTTAGTCTGTCCTGCTCTGGGCGAGGCCCTGGGGGTAGGGGAAGGCGGGCCCCTGTGCCCTGTCTTCCTGGTGAGGAATACGAGATGCCCGCAGGGCACAGGTGTAGGGCCTGCCAAGTGCCAGGCATTAGGACCAACCCACTCAATTTCCCAAGGAATGCAGAGGCCACTCACCTGCTCCCCAGAGCCCTCTGCTGCTGGGAGCTGACTGGAGGCTCCATCCTCAGCAGCCCTCTCGGTGGCAGAAGGACCTCCATCCTCTGTGTGGGGAGTGTGAAGGTCAGCTTGGCTGGGTCCTGCAGGGGTTGAGGTCTCATGGTGGCCAGGCTGCATGTCCCTGTGGGGGTGGGAGGTGGCGGGCTCCTGGGCCGTGGTGGCTGTGGTCGTTGAGGCCAGATGAGTGGTCGGGAGCTGTGTGGTCTCCCTGGGTCGGGGGGTGGCCTCCTGCTCCCGGGCGGTGAGGCCAGGCTCCACTTCTGGCAGGACTACAGCCTCTCCCTCCTTGGGCCCCTCTCCAGCCGGCAGGGTGGAGGTGGAGGCAGCTGTAGCCTCCAGGCCGGTGGGTTCTGGAGACGTGGGAATAGCCGTCAGGAGCTGCGTGTCCTTCCAAGTGGAGGGGGTCTGCTGTGACAAGGTGATATCTTGCAAAGCACCTGCAGGACCAGAAGCAGAGTGTGTTGGGGAGGTGGGGGGTGGGGAGGACCAGAAGCAGAGTGTGTTGGGTGGGTCGGGGGAGGCTCCAGAGCACCTGGGCTGGCCAAGCTCAGGCTATGAGGGAGGCTAGTACCTGGACAAGGCAGCTGAGGCTAAGCTCCTTGGAAAATGGACAAGGAGAGCTGTCCCTTCCCATTGTGTGTGTCCAGGTGCAGCCTGGTCTCTGGAGCCACGAGACAGGTGCCTAGGCCACCTGGGAAAGCTTTTCTGTGACCACAGGGGTGGGGTGGGCATCCCTTAGGGGCATAACTACTGTGGTTATCCTACTTATCCCAGGGCACACACTTCTCTGGCCCCACCCTCCCTGAAAAAAAGGCCCCCACTTCCAACAACAGACACTTCCAACAACAGATATCCTACCTTGCAGCTCTCAGGCCTCCGCTAGGTCACTTCCCCAGGGATGACCTCAGCCTCCTTCCTTAGCTCTCTCACCCCTCTTCTGAGGTCCACTCAAGAGCCACCTCCTCTGTGAAGCTTCCCTGACCACCTCCAGCTCAGGGACTTCTCTCCCCCAGTCCCCCACAGGGAAAGGGGAAGTAAGGAAGGGAGCTTGGATGGAAGAGCTACACCCCAGCTGGCTCTGTGCTGCCTTACAGCTCCACAAGCTTATCAGGTCAAGGTATTATTCCCATTTTGCAGATGAGAAAACAGAGGCTCAGGAGTCAAATAACCTTCTGAAGGGGGTTCCAGAGGTTTCTTAGTGAGTAAAGCTATTCCTAGTGAATATGAGCCTGCGTGCAGCAGGCGGCCCTGGGGCCTTCTGGAGCTCACAGCCTTCACCTCACCTCCGAGCATGAGCTCTCCTTAACCAGGCAGCTCACGGACCCCATTCCTCTCCTCAGCATTGCCCTTTGGAGCCAGCTGGGTGGAGACAGGGCAGGCAGGGTGCACTCAGTACATGCTCAGTAAACACAGGAGACTGCCTGACCACTGCCCACAGGCATGACCTGTTGCCGTCTTGGGTGGGGGGGGCCCCCATGACAACCTCACCTGCACCTGAGCCGGAGAAGTTGTCAGAGTCATCCCCAGAGCCATCTTGATCTTCAGGGGGCAAATTAGTAGCCACAATTTGCTGGAAAAGGATCAGAATATGGTATGAGTAAAGGCTTGGCCGGGTCTCTGCTGCTCCTGGGTCCTCTCCTAGACAGCTGAGTGGACTCACCCTACCCTGTGCTGCACAGGTACACAGGGAGAAGCCTTCTCATGTGGCTCCAGGACCCTCAGCTCTGGGCAGCACTTTGGTCCCCAGGCCCCATCCCCTGATGCTACAACACAGCCTGGTACTGGGTGCAGGGCTGCAGGGGCACAACAGAGTAGGCAGGGCCCTCACCCTGAGAAGCTCAGTCTGGTGAGGGAGCTCCAGACCTCTCAGAAGGGCAGACAGGGAGCTGTTATTGGGAACAGAGGCTGTGGTCCCCATGGGACCCCATCAGCCCACCCTACACTGTGAACCAGCTCTTGGGGGCCATCAGCCAGGGAGCTTTGGGGCCAAAGATTGCCGACCCAGCCCCACTGAGAGGCTTTCAAAAACCCCCAAGAACAATCTCAGGACAACCTGGGTGCAGAGGCAGCCTCCAGGCATGCTGGCCCCCAGGTGTGGATACCGAGGACGGCACAAGGGGCAGGGGCAGGGCTGGGCACAAGGAACTGTCTGTTCTGAGGCAGGTCTGCCCACACAGGGCAACCCCAGGCCTGGCCCTGATACACCTTCCCACACTTGGCCCAGTTCCTGTCTATAGTAAAGACTGGGTGCAGGCCCTTTGGTCAGAGTATCATCCTCCTTGGGGAAGGAAGGACAGGGTGTCCATCAGGCTGGGGACATATAAGGCTAATCTGGAAGGGGCCCTGCACTGACAAGCCTCCAAGAAGTGGGCTGTGGGCCTGGGACGGGCCCTGCTGGCAAACAGCAGTCCCAGGAATGCTGCCCGCCTGCCCAGCTCCAAGAGGCAAAGGGGCCAGAGGGCAAACATATACACATCTCTCCAGTTCCTGAGGCCGGGGCTGACTGGCAGGACCGGGGGCGGGGGCGGGGAGGCAGGATCACGCCACACACAGTGAGCAGGCCTGTGCAGAACCCTGGTCGGCAGGGAGGGCAGAAAGTCAGGACTGCCTCTGCCCTTCACACTGGCCCCAAGACCTCAGGTAAGGAAGAGAGAACCCAGCAGCCAGGTGGCGAGAAGTGTGGCTTTGAGAGCCCTATTCACCTGCGAGACTTAGACCCAAGGACCCCACTCACTACACAGTCTATCTTGAGAGGGCCCCAATGTCTGGGACCAGAACAAAGAATGAAAAAATATGCAGAACAGCACAGTCCAGAGCACTAGCTTTAGGAACTCCGGATCCTGCCACTCACTAGATGCGTGGTCCTGGGATGTCATTAAACTGCTTATGGCTTCTGTCTCTCCATCTGTAAAATGGGGAAATAATAACATCTACATTCCAGGACTGCTGCCAAAATTCAATGAAGCTATGCCTAACACAGCCTGGCACCCAGTGGGCACCCACAAACAGTGGCCACTGTCTAACTAGGGGAGCCTCAAATGCCAGCAGGCCTGTCTAGAAAGAGGGTGAAAGGGAGGTAGATAAAGTTTCATGAGAAGACGGGGGCAGGAAGAAGTCTGTTCACCAGAAGCCTCTGCACTGACTTGTCAGAGGGGGCCCACCTGAGGCTGGGCTCCAAAGGAAAAGGGCCTCCTCAGCCCAAGAGGCCTTGCCAGGCCCTGGCCACAGGCCCACGGGTCTCACTTCTGGGTAGTGCAAAGCAGAGAGGGACAGACAAGACCTCCTGCCTCCTGAGGCAGCCCTGGGGCAGAGCCAGACCAGGTGGAGGCTCCACGTCCAGGGGCCTAGGTCAGAGGGAAGCGTCAGACACGTGTAGAAACCACAAGGTCAGAAATAACACTGAACTTCCTTTGAAAGGACAAAAGCTAAACTGTATCTTCCTTCCCCCAAGAGAAAGGTTTTGACCCTAGAAGGGCAATTCATAGCCCATCTACAGTAACAAGTCACATTCCGCCAAGGCTCACCTGCAATGAACAGTCACAGTCCACCATGGCCCATCTACAATAAACAGTCATTGACTTGACTGGTGCAGTGGCTCACGCCTGTAATCCCAGCACTTTGGGAGGATCACTTGAGCTCAGGAGTTCCAGACCAGCCTGGCCAACATGGTGAAACCCCCATCTCTACTAAAAATACAAAAATTAGCCAGGCATGGTGGTGCGGGCCTATAGTCCCAGCTACTTGGGAGGCTGAGGCAGGAGAATCCCCTGAATCCGGGAGGCAAGAGGTTGCAGTGAGCTGAGATTGTGCCACTGCACTCCAGCCTGCGTGACACAGCAAGACTCCGTCTCAATCAATCAATCAATAAAAACAAACAGTCATGGTCCATGCTCCCCCCGCCTCCACACAAGGCCACATCCGATCTACAACATCTCCATGTGGTGCTTCAAACACCTGTGCTGCCTTCCCAGAGCTCTGAAGCTGCCCTGGCCTCCCTCAACCTGTCTCCTTCATCATCAAAGAATACTGCCCACCGGGGGATCACAGAGTGGGCACCCCCACCCATACTCACTGGGATCATGGCTTCACTCTCATCCAAGGACTCTGCCCTGCCCTCTCCTGCTGCACCGCCTCCCCCAAGAGAAAGCTCAAGATGGGGCAGGGATGGGGCAAGGCACTGGCACTTCGACCCCACGAGCCTCTGCTGCATTGTAGAGTGCCGAATCTTTCAGCAGAAGCTAGAACCATTGGATCCATGCTCCATTCAACAATGAGGCAACCGAAGCCCACAGGGAAGACACACACACTGGGGCCCATGTACAACCTGGGAGACACCGCCCAGTGAGACCCAGGAACGCCAGGGAGGCCCCAACACGTTAGCAGTTTCCCAAGAGCAGGGCTTTCCTCCTGACTAGATAAGCATTTCAGTCTGCCCTGTCCCTAAAAACAATTTGTTCCCTCAGTTCGGCTGGCTTATCCCTCTGCAATCTTGTTTACACAACAAGCTCTTAAGCAAATGTTTTCTCCACTGAAACCAGCTCCCTGGCCTCCGGGGGCCTCTCCCCTCCCTGGGCCTTCAGTCTCCACTAAGGGGACAGGCTAGAGAGACCTCCCAAATCTTCTCCAGCTTGAATCTTCTGGGACAGCCCCTCAGATGAGAAGGTGAGATTTCAGCCCCCTGAGGAGGAAATTAGCAGAAACTGCTGAGTTTGAACTTGGATTACCAAGGTGCCAGCTGACTCCCGGAGTTTCTGGTGAGACTTTCGATTTCCTTTAGCAGGCCTGCTGTGCTGACAGCCGGCAGCAAACTCCCTCTAGGCCTCCTGGGTAGCTCTCCCCAGCATCATCTCCAACCTGGGTGCTTCCGAGGCTGCCTGGCCACGGCTCAAGGCTGCTCAGGAACAGGTGGCCTCAGCTTGGAGACTACCTAATGCCCTGCCCAGGAAGGCAACAGGCTAACCAGCCTTTAACCTCTGTAAGTCCCAGGAAAACCAACTGTTCATAGAACGAATCAACAACTTTGTGCTAGGTAAGATCTAGGCTTCCACTCATTCTGTTGTTCAAAGCAAGGGATGCCTTGCCCCTTCCCCACCCACAGCGCAGACCCTAGAAGCTCACTGATTAGAAAGCCCAAGGTTTGGCTCGCCTAGGGGCTGGGGGATCAAGAGGCAACTGCCTGGAGTCTGGGGACAGGGAGTAAGGGAGTAAGGGTCAGGTCAGCCCATCTCCATCTCAGCCATGCTGGTCTCCTGGCCATACCCTGGGGACCCTGGAGAGAATCCTGGGGTCAGGGCTCTGACCCAGCAAGAAAGAGAGTGTGAAGGAGTGCGGCCTTCTCTAAGGCTGGAAACACTTTCCACCCATTCCTCTTTCTTCCCTACAACTCCCCTGCAGATGAGGCAGCGGGGCTGAGATCACTGTCTCTAGCAGATAAGGACTAGAGACTCTGAAAGGTGAGGGACTTGCCCAAGGCCGCCCAGACACTACAACTCCCCGTGCAGCAGCACTGCTCTCCTCACCTGCCATCCCCTTCTCTCTCCCCAGCCCTACCAGTTGACCCAATCAGTTTTAAGGAAAACCTGTCTAAGGCTCCTCAGTGGGATGGAGTTTCACTGAGCTGGAGTCGCTGAGCCTGCCCCAGTGGTGACGCTACCCAGGGACCAGCCCACATTTGAGAGGTGGAGAGGAAATGGCGTAGACCAGAACGGGACCTGTGCCACCAGGGATGGGGAGTCATCATCACCGGCTGCCAGCCATTACAAAGAGCACATCTGAAGTCTGTGGGCAGAGAGCTGGCAGAGAAGCTTCCAGAAGGCAGCCTCAAGCCAACTGCCAGCTTTCGCTCCCGTAACAGAGGTAAAGAGGGCCACTCTCCTTGGCAACCTCCGTCTCAGCAGAGCCCCTTGTCCTGGCCAGCCCTGGGGCTAAGGGGCAGCTGCGCTGCAGCTCCTCTGCAAGACAGCTCAGAAGTGCCTTGGCTGCCTCAGAAGCCAGGATGTCCAGTGGGCATCTCAGACAGGTTCGACGGGGGGCAGCGGGCCCAGTCGCTAACCCGAGAGGTTGCCCATCTACCCCCCGCCATCAGCCTGAGGCCACCAGGTCAGAAGGCCTTTGGTTTCCAGCCCGCACCCTGAATCACTGACATTGGTCACCTGCTGCTTGAAGTGAGTGATGGGTAAAACACAAACCCCTTAAAAAGCATTACTACTAGGCGCGGTGGCTCCCGCCTGTGATCCCAGCACTTCGGGAGGCCGAGGTAGGCGGATCACCTGAGGTCAGGAATTCCAAACCAGCCTGGCCAACATGGTGAAACCCCGTCTCTACTAAAAATACAAAATTAGCTGGGCGTGGCGGTGTGCACCTGTACTCCCAGCTACTTGGGAGGCTGAGGCAGGAGAATCACTTGAACCCAGGAGGTGGAGGTTGCAGTGAGCCAAGATCACGCCAGGAGCTTTTGGAGAAAAGAGGGAAGAAACAGTCTGGTCCTGGCCCGGCAGAGCTCCCAGCTCCTCAGAACATATGGCCAGGTGTCCGGCTCCAGGGGGATTTAAAAAGGGGGAGCTTCAGAGGCTGAAGTACAGAGGGCTTCCCTAAGGGGACTACTAAGGCCAGGCCTTGAAGCCCCCAAACCAACTCAGGAGAGGATAAGACAACGCTCACCCCAGGCACTAACTTGGGCAGCGCAGGGGGCCTCTGATTCGCAGTCATTCGTGGTGGAGCAGGAAAGGGAAGCTGATCTGTCAGCTGTACCTGCCCCGTGTGGCCACGAAATCCCCGGCTTCTGTGGGAGCCCAGTCACTGAATCAACAAACCCCAACAAACCAGGGATAAAGAGCTGCCCCTTATCAAAGGAGCTAGGTCACCACCTTTGACAAGCAACCTGGACCAGGGGCCATGGCACTGGCTCTGGGGCCAGTGGACAGGAGAGACCCAGACCTGTTCCAGAAGCCCAGGCTGCGAGGTCATGAGGCAGGAGGGCCCATGGTCATGGCAGGCTGGACACCCACCCTCCCCATCCCGAGATTCCACACAATGGCAAATGTCCTCAGGAGGCTTGAAACAGGGTCACAGTTGTTTAGAAATCTTCTTTACCCCCTTGGTTTCTCAGTCAGATCTACACATACAAGGAAAACAGGCTGACTCTCCCCTCCCCTAGACTTCAGGACTCTTGGGGGCTGATATCTCTGAGCTGCAGAGCCCCAGCCTTTACCCCCACCTCTGCATCAAGACACCATACTGGCTGAGGGTGATAACCAAACCATCACCTGCATCCAGACTGGGGGCTCTCAGCTTCAGGGTCCCCAAGAATCACCAGGAGACCACTACAAATGAAGTCTTTCGAGTTCCCCGCCCAGAGGCTGACTCTGTCATTCACAAGCCCCAGGTCCTGTAGGGGGTCTTCAGACTGCACTTTGAAAACAATGAGGGGAGGAAAAGGCATCCCCCAGAGTGGCCCAGCCTGGAGGAGGCAAGAGCTCGTTTCACTTGAGTCCAGTGTTCAAAGTCAAGGCACTGAGTAGCAACAGAGCCCTGTGAACAAGCTCTAGTGGCCAAAGGACCAGGGAAAGCTCAGCAATGTCCTCTACATTTCCGACACGTCCACTCGCATAGATAGCACACCACGGTGGCAGCCCAGCCTCCCTCCCCCAGGAGCTGAAGGCCCACTGAACATCCAGAAGCACCTACATGACTGGGAAGTGTCTACCTGAAGCTGGGCTGAGGCTCCTTCGTGCCTGGGGCTGAGCCCACTGGCTTCCCACCAGCCGGCCCGGCTGGACCCAGCAGGGCTGAGCAGAAGACAGCTGCTGGAGCTGACAGGCAGGTGGGCTCCGGGGACGAAGGCTGGGCCTGGAAGGCAGCACAGGCTGCAGGGCCTGGTCCTGCTTTTCCAGGGGTACCAGTGGGAGGGCACGGGAGAAAAAGCTGCAACACCCTCTCCCAGTCCCACTGCCTTCCGAACGCCTCAGTGCCCTGCAGTGTGGATCTGTGGCTGCCTTCCCTCTGTGGGGAGCCCTGTGACCCTTTCCTTCAGCCTGGACTGAAAACGGCCTAAGCACTGAGCAGGCAGGTCATATCCGAGCACCCAGGAGCAAGGGTCTCTGGGAAAGGGCTGGAATCCGCCATGCGGCTCCCGTGCTGGGGACCTGGGCAGCTTTCAGCCTCTCTCTAGACCTGTTCTCCACCTAGACGCCAGAAGGGGCTTGGTGGATAACGCTAAAGTGCTTTACGGCTGACAGGCTGGCCCCGCGGCTTTAGCACCTGGTGCTGCTCTGGGAACTAGACAGGGGTTCTGTCCCCCAAGACTCTCCAAATGCCCCCTCCTCAGGGACCCACAGCACTGATCACCAGAGGGTGGCCCAGGGAAAATGACCAGGTCCAACATGGGGATAGTCTGGTGACAGTCTGGCCTCTGTCCCTAAATTACGGGGTGGTGCCAGAAACACCTTGCCTCAGGTTGTCCATCTGTACAACGGAGGTTTGGCCAAAATGGTGGGACTCGTGGGAGTAGGCAGCAGGGCAGGGCCACAGGCCAGGAGACACTGGGCTCCCCCAGCCTCGGGGTTGTGGAGGAAGTGCTAGACACATCACTCCTCTCCTAAGGCTGGTTTCCGAACTCAGGAGCCGGGAAAACACAGCCCGCCAGGGAGGCAGGCTGAGGCTGCAGATGGGGTCTGGGCCTCCAGACCCGAAATCCCCCACTGAAGCCATTCCCAGGAGGAGGGGCCTCACTGGGGCCTCAAGGCAGCATCAGCATTTCCGGTGACAGGCACAGCAATTTATCAGCTCACTGGCTCTCTACTGAGAACAAGGCAAGCCGGGGCCTGCCGAGGGTATGACAGGCAGGGAGTGATGGGCCCGGCCCAGGGCAGGAGGGAGACAGAAATGGGCAGGAAGAGGAGGCTGTCCCCAGCAGCACTTCTGAGAGGAGGAGCACCTTTCGGGGACACTCTGGACGGCACCCCCAAGCACAGCCCCACCCTGCCACTTGGAGACGGACCCCTCACTGTCCTGGGGGCTTCCAGGGCAGGGCCAGGGTGGAGGGACGGCATTCACATTTGGCCTTCAAGACTACTTTCGGGTAATATTTTCCATTTAGTGTGAGGTCAGGGCTTTACAGATGGGAAGCCTGAGGTCAAGGTCGCAGAGCCGAGCCTCCCAGCCCTGGGCTTTTTGCCCTGCACCGCACTGCCTGCTCACAGTACACCGGGGGCGTTTATTGAAGGAGGAGGGATCCTGGCAGCCTCATGCCAGCTCCGATGCCCAAGCCAAGCCAGTGCTGCCCCCAGCACCCCCATACCTACCCTTCCACAGAGCTGGCGCCTGCCTCAGCAGCCCACATGCCAGGACTGGTCTCAGAACAGGCTCAGCTGAGGGCTGGGCGTGGAGCCGTGGAGCTGGAAGACCAGTTCCTCTGCTTTCCCCCCCTGGCAAAACCCGGGCCAGGCCAGGCAGGGCAAGGTTTCATCCAGGCAGGCGATGAGCAAAGCAACCCAACCCAGGCCCTGCAGCCTCAGTGCCTAGTTCTGCTCCGAGAGCCAAACAAGGGATCTGTCTCCCAAGACTCGCCAAACACCCCCCACTTAGGGACCCACAAGGACACTCGATCACACTGACTTGGTATCATCACCCTCAGCTTCCCAAGGGGAGTCATGGCTTAGGCAGGATGCCAGAGATATCCTAAATCAAGGTGACCGTGGGGCAACTGGCACCCTATGGGGACAGAGGGGGCAGCCAAGCCTCCAAAGCACTGTCCCTCCCCCAGCCCTGTCTGCCCTAAAGAGCCCACCAAGGTCAGAATCTCAGCCAAGATTTCCCCAGTCGGCCCTTACTGAGAAGCCCAGCCCTGTCAGTCCCCACCAGGTCCCCTGGAATGGGTAGCCACCGGACCTGGGGACCGGGGCACCTCTGCCAGATGGACTTCTAGGGACATCCTCCCCCTTGTACTTGCTAAATAAAGTGTCCTCAAGTTTCACAGAGGCAGAAACTGCACTTTTGACACACCTGCAGCCGGCCAGGGCTCCAGCTGTGTGTGAAGGTGGGGGAGGGGAACAAGCTCCAACTTTATTACCAAAATCTCTCCTATCAGTGTCCCTGTCATTGCACAATATCCCTTTGAAAACAAGTCCTCTGGGAAGGCTAAAGGGTACCAGCACTCACACTACAGCATAAATCACTTCCAGGTGGGGAGGGGCTAACTCTGGAACTAGGCCACTGCGGGTAGGTGGGAGCTCTGGGAGAGGGAACAGGATTACAACAGAGAGGCTGGAAGATGTCAAGGGCAAAGTTTTTAACCTTTGTCAAAATGTGGATGCCAACAATGCCATACCCAGGAAAGGAGGAAGAAATTCTCTTTGCTCTTCCTGGAGTCACAGATGTACACGGTTTCTCCTCCCACGTACAGAACAATGGGCTAGCCTGGGAACCTGCCTCTCAGATAAAGAACAATTCAGATTGAGTAAGCACTGAGGCTGCTGAGAAGCCCAGAGACACGGGAAGGCAGAGTGTCCCTGAAGGAGTCCCAGGGGAGGGTGGGGCTGGTCCCTTCTGGTTTGGGGGATGGGAGACAGAATTTTCTGTGACGGCTCTCTCTGAAGAGGGAGAAGCCACCTGGGAAGCCAGGTGGATCCTCCAGATTACTGGCAGGGCCCCAGGTCAAGTGGCTTGCCCTCCCTCTGATGGGCTGGCAGATCTGCACAGCCTCCAACCCCCAGCACAGAGCTCCTAGCCCTCTCAGCCTCTGCACACGGTGGGTGTTGAGATGGCTGAAAGGGAGACTGTGGACACAGCTCCAGTCTGAAAAGCTCAGCATGACCCTAGGAAAGGGAAGTAGCCACATGCCTTGCCCAGAGCTCAGGGACTACCAGGGGAGTTGGTGGGCAGGGGGTGTGGTGGAAGAAGAGTCTAAGCCTCTGATCTGGACTGGAGATTACTTGAAGAATAGAAACAACTGAATTAGGCTCTAGGGAGAAAAAGTGATCATAGCTAATGTTTATTGAGTCCTCTGGGCCAGAGGAGCTGGCAATCAGTTTTTTCCAAGCACTTTCTCTGAATTAATTAGTTTGATCTTCACAGTCACCTTAGGTTCTAGTACCATGCACATTTTACAGATGAGAAAATTGAGGCAAAGGAGCTATGTCATCTGTCCCAAGGCACACAGCCACTGAAGCCAGCAGTCTTGCTCTGGCAGTCATGCCATGAACCACCCATCACAGTGAAGCCCACAGGGCTCTCTCACTCTCAGGAAGACAACAGCCATCATTTCCACTGGTGGCACCCTGCAGTCTGGCCCAGCTTTGTCGGCATCCATAGAAAACCCAGCTCCTTCTCCAGGACAGCCATCAGTCTGAAGTTCTGGGGACAGGCCACCGTGCCCCATTGCTAGGGGTCCTGCCCAGCAGGCCTGAGCCCCTGCCAGGGTGCCCCAATGTCTGGCTTTGCCTGGCCTCCTCTCCCATCTGCCAGCCCAGCCCATACCTTCTCAGGTCAGGAGGCAACCCAGCCCGTACCTTCTCAGGTCAGGAGGCAGCCCCTGGCAGAGGCTCGGGTGGAAGAGAGCAAAGTCTAGCCTGCTAGTGAAGGCTCATGTTTCTGAGAAGGGCAAAAGCCATGTTTGCAGGCCCTGTTAACGTCAGCAGCACTGGGGTCAGACCAGCAGGCCATTCACACAGAGTGACTCCACGCTCAGGCTGGGTCAGACTGCACCCCTTCCCACAGGTCAGCCTCAGTGCTCCCCTAGACTTGCTTCTCTGTGCTCTAGGCAAGGAAGGGGCCCCAATCATATCACATATGGTATTTCATGGAACCTCTGCAAAAGCCCTCTGGGGCAGGATATGAGAAACTCCATTTTACAGATGAGGAAACTGAGGCTGGGGTAGGTGAAGAATCGTGCTCACGATGACACAGGGAGGAAGCAATGAAGTCCGGATGTGATCCAGGTGGGCTAGACTCCGTGTCCTGTGCTCCTCCTGGCCTCCACAACACCTCTCCACTCCAGCCCGAGCCGGGACTAACCACGCCAGCTAGTTCTCGGTCCCACCTCAGCTGTGAAGCCCCAAGGTCTCAGGACTCAATAAAGGCAGGAAGGCCCAGGCCTTCAGGCTCAGGTGACTGCCTTACACAGGGAAGACAGGTGGGCCAGAGTGCCCACTGCATGCCCAGCCTCCAGACAAGATCTCTAAGAATGAACCTCATTCACGGGAGGTGGGGAGGGAGGCAGGGGGCTCTATGCCCTTTCTACAATTCCCTGAGCCCAAGACAACCAGTCACTGCTGCAGATTCACCCGAGGAGACTCAGGGGTGAGCTTCCTGGACTTTCCAGGCCTGACCCCAGGGAAACTCCTCCTGTGCTCTTCCCCCAGGCCCCAAGTCCCTTTCAGGGAGGAAGGTGGGGGGCAGGGCCTGAAGATCTCATGCAGCCCAAGCACGGCCCACAATCCCAGCCTGGCCCTCAGCCCCGCAGGCCCTGGCCAGCCTTGAGGTCTTGCCGCCCGGACCCTCCCCGATACCCCATCCTGGAAGAGATATGGTCACCATCACAGCAGCACTGCACCCTGCGGTTTTCTCTGGGAGAAGCTGGAATGACACCAGCCTCTAGGAAGGTCTCAGAGGCTCCTGAAACGCCCCACAACCTCGGGCCCTGCAAGCCCAAACCTGACCATCATATTCGCCTGGAACACTACAGATAAGATGGGCCTTCCAAGGCCTCGGACAGTTTCCTGGGCAGCAGGGATGACAGGAAGCTACTGGAGGTAGAGTCAATGCCACTCTGACACAATCAAGTCCCCAACCAGGTAAGGTCCCTGGAGCATCAGCGGCCACCACTGGTATTGGTAGCATGGGAACAGCAGGGCCAGGGCCCAAGTTCTAAAGGGCTTTCTGGGACCCAGTTCATGACAAATGCCATAGTTGGCCACGAGCTCCTCGGCCCTCCAGAAGTTCCTCCAACCTCCCCACATCCCACCCTGGCAGACGTGCAATCCTCACCGTACGCATCCCAGGCCAGGCGCCAGAGTTCTGTCTCTCAGCCTGCTGAGTAGCACAGAAGATCCACAGAGAGAGCCAGGCAGCCCCACGTGGAAATGACTATGAACTCAAGCTCACGCCACCGTGGGGAAGAGTTCCCTGAACACCTTTGGAGATCCATGGTGCACACGAGTGGTCCTAGAGCAGGACTGGCAGCCTTTGCAGCTCCCTCAGGGAGACCCCCTGCCCTGACACTTCCCATGGCCAGAAGGCAGCCCCACAGGTTTGGAGCTCCATAAAATGTCCTGCCTTACAGCCCAGGCTCCTAGTTCGATACTGCTGTATCGTGGGACTCTGGGACAAAACCCTTCCTGTGGGGAGACGTGACAGGTGCTGAATCGCGAATCCCGTTCATTGTCACTGCAGAGACCACCTCTCTCGTCTGGTTCCAGTAACAGCCACCCTCTCTTACAGGAATCCCCTGGACCAGATATGGAACTCTCACCACTGCACAGGGCTACGCACACAGCAGGTACCCAGGATCTGGGCTTTAGATCTGGTCAAGCCAGATAGGTCTCATGAAGCCCTCAGAACTTGAGGCAGCAGAGCACAGGCAGGCCCCCAGATACCCACCAGTCACACGACACAGCCACAAGAGGCCATGCACACCCAAAAGCATTGCCTCACCTCTGCCTCTCAGCCCCTTCCCCCTATGTCACAGATGGGTTCACTGAGACCAAGAGAGGCCTCTGTACACAGTCACTCGAGAGAGAGGAGGCAGGGCCAAGACAGAAAGCCAGGCCCCTGAGCCCCGGCTGTGTCTTGCTGCACTCTCTGCCTCGTGCCGGCCCCCAGAGGGCTTGCAGTGGATCAAGGTTGGTTGGGTGAGTCTCAGGGGAGGACCCGTGGCCCTGGCACCATGACTCAGCTGATGAGTGGACTGATCAACATGCCCGCCTTCCCCACTGCCCCAACCTGCCCGCCACAGCCTTCATTCCTGCTGCTGAGCGGACCTCGGGCAGGTGCCAGGACTCTTGGGTGTGTGTGCGGAGAACATCATACAGCCCCAGCCCTGGCCCAACGTCACCCAGGCACCTCTGTCCACTCCAGCTCCCACAAGGAGCTCGAATCCACCCCTCAAGCAGCCTGCCCTGCCCTCCACTGGCCTTGCCCATCCCACCGATGACCCCTTGGGCAACCAACTCTCCTTCGAGTCCCAAGAAAGAATACTGGCAGAGAAATGTGAGCCCCCAACAAGTCCTTCAGTGCCACCTCTGCCCTTCCCAGGATAAGGTCTCTCTGTAACCATGTGGCTCTCAGAACTGAGGACAGGAAGAACGACCCTTTGGCAGAGGAGGAAACTGAGGCCCAGAGAGGCAATGGCCTGCCACAGCCAAACAGTCGGGGCTCAGCTGAACCAGGAAGGCCAGGTGACCTGACTGCCCGTCTCTGTAGGAATAACTCCCACAGATTTCCAAGGCCAAGGCCATGATGGATGTCAGAGCCACAGTGAAAAAGAGAAAAGGCCACCAGCAGAGGTGGGAGGCAGAAAGGAAGCTGGTGTCTGAAAAGGAAGCTGCAGCCAGGTAGTGACCAGGCCCCCCAAAACTGAGACTGCAGCCTGACAGGGGAAGGCAAGTCAGGAGTGCCCAGGCAAGGCCCAAATGCAGTGGCAACCTGTGCAGTAAGCACCCCCCCACCACACACACAGACACACACACACACAGACACACACACACAGAGACACACATATACACGGACACAGACACACACAGATACAAATATACACGGACGCAGACACACACAGACACATAAACACACAGACACACACACACACAGAGACACACGTACACACGGACACACACACGGACGCACACAAACACAAAGAGACAGACACATAGAGGGACACACACACGTACATGGACAAAGACACACAGATGCATGGACACACACACAGACACATGGAGACACACAGATATACACACAGACATACACACGCAGACACACACACACACAGACACACACACACACAGCATCTCATGGTGCTGCAACCCTCAGGTGAATCACTAGGCAGAGAGTTTTTCCCAGGGCTGACGGCCAGAGGAGGCCCATCCTCTACACAAAATTAGGCAGCCACGAAGCCATAAAAGCCAGGAGGTCAGAGACCCTTGAGGGGCTCCCAGTGGGGAGAGGAACCAGTGGCAGCCTCGGGAAGCCCCGAGCGCAGCAGGAGAGGTCGCTGGGCAAGTGACTGAGTGCAGGAGCAGGTCCAGCCGCCGCCTGTTCTGCTCTCCTGACTCAATGGCCCCAAGACCCAAGATTTCCCACGGCACACCCCCCTTGCCCCATAAGCTTGCCCCCACCCTTACAGGCCCTGCCAAAAAGCAGGACACTTGCCAGGGGAGGCTCAGGCCACCCCTCCCCGAGATCCCCACAGTACTGACCACAGGCAAGCTGACCCGGTGCACCTGTCTCAGGAATGCCAGGGACCTTCTCACACTGTCTCTCCACCTAAATGAAAGCTTCCTGAGGGCGGGCAAAAGCAGTAACATCACAGGTAAAGCTCACTCTTCCAGGGGAAGCGATGGCGTGGGCCCCATGACCACCTGCAGCTGGATAAGACAGTTGCTGAAGTAGCCCCAAGCCCAGGGTCTTGCCTCTGCGGCCTCACCTCTACAACCTGCACCCCAAACATACCTCCTTGTGGTGAGGGGCATACACACATCAGCCTTCCCCTGGAGCCTGTCAGGGCACGCATGTCCCATTCAGTGGAAGGTTCCAGAATACATGCTCCCATCCAAAACCCAACCTCTGCTGGAACAGCTGAGAGAGAAGTGACAGGGTACAGGATCCCAGCACCAAAGCCCTCTTTCCACAAACTCCCTGAATCTCTCAGGGCCTCAGGGGCCCTTTCAACCCAAGATTCCAAAACTGGTTGGTGAAAAGAAGGCAATCGGGCAACAGTTGAAGCCCGGCAATCGCCTAATGACCAGTTCCTCATGGGCTGTCCCCACCCCCAGCAGGACCTGGTGTTGGAGGGGACCAGGAGGTGACTGTGGCACCAGAGCCAGGAGTCCTGGGTTCTGGCCACCACCCGCGCCATGCTGCCCGCCTCCCAGGCTTACAAAAGAATCTGCTAATTCCAAGAATGTTTCCCCAGCGCCCAAGGTAAAAGATGGTGCAAGCTGGGCACCACCTGGGGTCTGGCCTGAGGGCGCCATCCAAACAGGCCCCTCCACACCCAGTCCACATGGTTCCCACCCTGCTCTCTCAGGTCCCAATTTACTTCCTGTGAGGAGCTCTCGCCTGTCCCTGAGGGGCCATCAGTTGAACCCAACCCAGTGTTGTTTGCCTGATGGCACTGTTCAGGCCAGCTCAGCCTGGCCCAGCCCCCTCAGCCCAAAACGCTCATATCCATGGTCTTCAGGACGGACCAGCAAATGCCCAGTAGAGCCTTGCAGGGTTCAGCCAGCCCCCAAATGCCAGGCTTCTCAGGGGAGACTTGACAGTCTTGCGATGTATTCACACCATACCCATACACATGCGCACACACACACACACTGCACACACACACACAAATCCTGTCTCAGCCAATGGAGGGGCCCGCCACCCTAGGCCTCAGCTTCCTCATCCACAAAGTGGGGCAATGATATATATTGTAAAGGTTTTGGGTAAAGTTCAAATAAGAATGAAAGAAAAGTACTGAGCACTCAACAGTAGGCACTCAAAAAAAGGTAACCTTAATTATATCGACAGCTAACTTTCCTCAGGCGGTTTCATCACAAAGTACTTTCACATATCCATTATGAAATGAATACGCAAATGACAGAATGAGGACAGGGAGAACAGGTATCATGATGTCCGCTTTACAGATGAGGACAACAAGACTTGGAAGGAAAGTGACTCACCCCAGATTATGGAGTAAATTAGTGGCAGAGTTGAGACTCAGTCCTGGGGCTCTACTTAATCCAAAGCCATTTCTGGCCTGTCACACAGTATGGATGCACATTATATAGAAACAGGAACTAAAATCCAAATCAAACATGTGGTGAAGAGTTGGGGGCATGACCGAAGCTGAGAGTAACAGTCAAGGCTAAAGAATAATGGCCCTCAGCTGGTCAGTCCAGCTACCTGTGACCAGCAAGTCACTTACAAGTCAAACCAGGTCGAGGAACTTGGAACATGGGGGTCAGCAAGCACTTCCCCCAAGAGATGACTCATTTTTCTCCACTGAGAGAGGCCCCTAAAGGCCTCACCTTGGCAGCACCTCTTTGTTACTCTAGGTGGGGTGCAGGGAGGTAGAGGGGAGACTGCAACAGGTCCCAGCTGAAGTTCATGAAGGGTACAAAATCCACATATCACAGATCATCAGTCTCACTCACAGGCAAGGCCCTTACCCAGAGCCTAAAACTCTCAGCTTGGAAATAAGCCTAACTCATCTGATTAGTTTCTTAGTGCCACTGGAGAAAAGTAACAAATTAGAACTGATCAGAAAAGCTGCTGGCTACACTCAGGCACATAAATGTCACTTCTGGCTGCTCTCTGGAAAAAGGAGAAAGACCAGAATTCAAAACAGAGCAACCTGGGGCACCAGGCAGAGGGGCAAAGTGCTCTTCAGAGCACAGTAAATCCAGGAGACAATGTCCTAACCCAGCACAATGATGAGGAGGACGACCCTGGCAGGCAGAGATTAAATCATGCCTAGCATTTTTTGGTTGATAAAGGAAGGGAAATAAATACTTCAGAGAGTCATGCCCAGAGTAAGAATACTCGAGGGTAATAGGGATTCTTAGCTTGATGAAAAAATATGAATACACAGGACACCTCATTCCCAAGGGATTTCAGGAATCCAAAATTCTGCTGCAACAGAAAAGATTCCTCTAAAAAACTGCAGAAGTCAAGCTTTTCATTAATTCTTTCCAGGCTCTCTCCTTTCTTACTGTCTCCCTACCAATGTGTGTTAATGAGGTTTTACTGGAACCCATCATGAGCCACAGGTAGAGACTTAAACCGCTCCACCCTCCCTGTAGAGCTGAAGCCAGGGATGACATCACTTCTAGAAGGCTCTGAGCCTGAGCGGAGGCAGCTAGTGCCTCCCCCCATACCCTCTCTGCCAGGCTGTGGGAAAATGTCTCTACTAGCCCCCATAATTAGGGCAAAAGGGATTTTATGCCTTTCAAGAAAGAGAAGAGAGAAAGAATGAAAAATAGCAAATAACTATTCCAGAACAAGCCATTTTTCTTACATGGCAGAAACAAAAGACCACAGTAAACACACACACACACACACACACAGAGAGAAAGAGAGAGAGAAACCTTTTTAGACAAACCTGTTTTAGTCTCTTGGGAGTGGTTTTGAGCAACCTCCTCTCCTAGCAGCCTCCCCTCACCCATTCAGTCACTCCTTGCTTCCCTGGTCCCCAGGGGGTTTCTGACCTGCTTCCCACTGGGGCCAGAGTGAACTTTCAGAGAGGGTCAGATCTCTGCCACTTGCAAATACCTTCTCCCATCTTAAAGCAAATCCCAGCTGCCTGATTTCTTTTAGGAAAGGGGTATCAGAGCTTTGGGAAGGCAGTGCATGCCCCCACCTTTAACCTAACATGGACATTCACTGTAAGAGGAAGAGGGCAGAACTGGGAAAGAGAAAACAAACTAATCTTTGTAAGATCAGAAAAAGCAAAAAGAACACCTAAGCTTCAAGCCAGAGTCTGACCCCAAAGCTCAGGTGGGGCTTTCAGGCTCAGCTCAAGCACCTCCTCCAGGAAGCCTTCCCTCCCTGCAGCTCCAGGGAGTCTCCCTCCTTTCCCCTTTTGAGACTCTCCTGCCTCCTGGGCCCTATGTCCAAGTTTCTGGGCAAGAAATAATGCCTCACACTGCAGCATCTGCCCCAGCCCACAGAAAACTCCAGGAAAGGCAGTTCACGGGGAAGCCCAAACTCCACCTGCCTCCCCAGCATTAACGGGTGCGGTGGGATCCCAGGGCTCTGGAATGTCTGCTTTACCCCAGGCAGGCAAGGGAACCAGCAGCCCTCCTAAATCCAGCCGGAAATAGGTGGAGGACCCAACTTCAGCCGCCCCTGCTGAGGCCCCATCATGTGCGAGAATGGGGCAGTGAGGTGATGCCCAGCGGTCCAGGGAGGTAAGGCACCCAGCTCCATTCTCTTCTCCAAACTCGGAGCGAAGACTCCAAGCACAGTCTCAGTTCCACAGAAACCACCACCCTAGAGAGCAGCTTCTTGGACCTGAAAGCCAGGAGTGCATGAGACCCAGCTCGGAAATCATGGCCCTCCCCGTGCTCCCAGATACCCCTCACAGTCCAGCCCATTCACAGTTCAATAGGCACAGGGACCTCTCCTGGACCGGAAAATGTCTGGAAGCACGAGTCACCTGGGAAGCAGGGAGGGCGCTTTACACATCGGTCTCAGAAACGACTGTCCCTACCTCATCTCCCATGAGACAGACTCTGTAAAGAAAAAAAAAACCAAAGCGCTCAATAACTGGCAGCTACTACACGAGGCAACGCTTACGGAGGGTCAGCGCTGCTGAGACTTGTCCAGATGCCACATTAGCAGTGGAGAACCCGAGTGCCCACCCCGCCCCCGCCCCTTCCCTGCCCACGTGCCTCCCTTTGCCAGAGCTGGGGAAGTCGAACTGTCCAGATGTAGTGGCGAGACACCGCCACTTCCGGAAGGGGAAGCGCCCCTGGCTCCGCACCTCCCCTCTGCATCCCTGGGGATGGCCGAGCCGGCCCGCAGGAGGGACCCCGGGACGCCAGCACCGGGCGCGGGGGCTGGGGAGGCGAACTCGGGCGGCAGACTCGGGCACCGGGCGGCCCGCGCTGACACCTGGCTGCGGCCCAGGTCCCAGCCCCCGTCAAGGCCGGCGTTACGGGGCTGTTCCCAGGAAAGGGTTACAGGGGCCGAGAACAAAGCGCCCCCATTGGGGAAGGCGGGCTAGCGGCCGGTGGCCGGGGCGGGAGAGCCACTTTCTGGGGACCCTCAGGCTGCTCTTTGTCGGCCACGTCCCTCTTTAGTGGAGCGTCAGCCCCGCTGAAGGTGGATGCTGCATCCCACCCAAAGGCCTCTTACAGCCCCGAGCTCCACATCTGCCCCTCTTTTCTCCCAGCTGCACTGGGCGGGCCAAGGGACCCGCCTTCCCTCCGCGCGGCTTCAGCACAAAGCCGAGCCGGGGAGCGGGAGGCCATTCCCGGGTCCCCTCGCGTGGAAGGCGCCTGCGCCTCGGCCGTGCCCGGCACGGGAACGCGCCCTCCGGGGCCAGCTCAACTTCAGCAGCCCAGAAGTTGGGCTCCTCCGGGTCTCCAGCGTTCCGAGGCCAACTTCCCGGAACCTCCCGCTGCCGGGCCGGCTCAGCTCACCTCGAGCCGCCCACGGCAAGCCCGAGGGCCCTGCAGACGCTCGCCCGCGCCCCCCACGCAGCCCTGGCCCGGCTCCCCGGGCCAACGCGGCCGCCTCCCGCTCCCGCGCCGGCCGCGCTGCGCCCAAACTTGCCCTGGCGCAAGGGGCGGGGCGCCCGGGCTCGGCGGCGCTGGGGCGCAAGCCCGCGGGTCTGGTTTGAATTAGGGTCTGCAGGGGGGGCGTTGTGGCCGCGGTCACTGCATCCCCCCGGGTCACCGACGGGGGCCCGGCCGCCGCGGTGGCCGGGGCGAGGAGGGTGGGAACGGGCGACCCCGGGCGCCGCTGTGGGCTGGCGGGCTCCGACAGATGTGGAGACGTTTTACATAATTGAGCGCGGGGCCCCGGCCCCCCACCCTCCCCAGCGCGGGACCGGTGCGGCACCCACCGACAGCGGAGGAAATTGGGGCTGGAGCCCTGGTCTCGGGGCTCACCGTCCCGGGACCCGCTGGGCTAGCGCGGGAAGAAGGGAAGTCTTCGCTCCCCCTCCCCCTCCACGTGCACCCGCCGGCATCCGCGGGTGACCAGTCCCGGCTTCCCGCCGCCTCCCCGCCTGGCCGCCGGCCGCACTCACCGGCAGGGCCGGCTGCAGGCTCAGCGCCAGCGCGCACAGCCAGAGCCAGAGCGCCGCGCGCCTCATGCTGCCCGGACCGGCGGCGGGAGAGCGGCAGGCTGCGCGGGTCGCGGCTGCGGGCCGGCTTCGCGGGTTCCGCTGCTCGATGCTCTCTTGGGCGCCTGCCCAGCGCGCCGCTGTCCCAGGCGAGGGCTGCAGGGTCCGCCGGCTGGAGTCCGCTCTCTACTGCCGGATTCCTCTCCGCTCGGCTCGGATTCGGCCCGCACCTCTCCCGCCGAGCTCCGCCTTATAATAAACCCACAGGCCCTTCCTTAGCCGTTGCAAAAACTGGCCCCCCACCCCCAGCTCCGCCAGGTCTCCCGGCCAGCCCCAGTCCACACCCCCCAGGACCCCGCCCCCCAGCCACCCCTCCCGGCCCCTTCGGAACGCCCCACCCCCGGCCCGCTCCTAAGGTTCTTGCCTGCTTGGCTCCCGCTCCTCCGGTGGCCGAACGTCGCTTTCGGGAGCTGTGGTCCCCGCAAGCCGCGGTTCCCGGCCTTTCAGCTCGGCTGCTCCCTGGGTGGTGGGGCCGAGGCGCACCCCCTTCTGCCCGGGCCCGGAGTGCGGAGGCGCAGCCCGGGAGAGGGGCTGAAGGGGGGCAGGCAGTCCTCGGGCGCGAGTGTGCAGCGCCCTCTGGGCGTGGACGCGGAGCGCGCTCCAGGTGCGCAGGACTCCTAGCTCTCTTGGGGAACGCTTTCTGGGGCAGGGCGGGGACCCGGGGGCGATGGGGCCTTCAACCGACGGGCAAACACACACAGACACACCCCGGCTGTCCTCCAGCTGCGATGCGGCTCGCTGCGCCCCGCCGGCCCAGATTCTCCCGTACGCTCGCGTTCTTCCTGCACTCCACAAAGTGCTGGAGACTTGGGGCCTTAGTTTAAACAGCTGCACCCGCACGGAAGGGCTGCAAGAAAAAGGGGGACGGGGGCGGAGTTCGCAGCGTTTTTCTGTGGAAGACAACGCCCTCTCTCTTCATCTGAGCTAAAAGGAAAAATAAGTAACTTCTTTGTTCCCCGGTGACCTCGGGCACGCGGATCTGAGGAGCACCGTGCAGTTGCTGCTCCTTCGAGATCCCCTGCGAGGCCCTGGGCCTCAGTTCAAAAAGCTGTGGAAGGCCTGCGGGTGTAGGGGAAACGGCCGAGAGAGCAAAGGGGAAGAACCGGACGGGCCCTGCCCACATCTGGCAGGCAGGAGAGATGGTGCCAAACGACCTTCGCACCTGGGCCCTGAGACCAAAGATGGCGTCGTCCTCCCCTGTCTTCCCTAGGCGGAAGGCAAGAACTTGGGTCGGCCTGAGCTGGGGACCAAGAAAATATCGGGAAGTGTCCAGTGTTCCTCTTTAAAAGAATTAAACCTTCCTGGGCCACGCAGGGACTGACCGTGGGACCCTGGACTCTCCTCCACCTTCCACCGTGGAGCAGGCTCTGGAGCCGAGCAGCCTCCTGCGTCCCCATCTCATCCCCCCACTCCTCCTCACAGCACTAAAAGATGATGGCCTGCTTGTACCCCTGCTCCTGAGCACCTGTTTGACCTCAAAGAGCTCTCGCTTTTGGGGTGTCCGTCTCCCCAAGTCTGTCTAGGGGGCAGGAAGACCTTCATCAGGGTTCTTGGGGGCCGATGTGGGCTCGCTGAGTGCCTGAGTGATGGATGGTCTCACAGCACGGCACCACGGAGGTCCAGCCGAGCTCGAGGAGTCCCTGTGGATTAAAAATGCCCTTTTCGAAGGTTCTACCTCTACCAGAGGGTGGCTCCACAGATCCCTTCAACCCAGTATGGTGGAAAAATAGGAATTTTGGAATCTTACCTTTCTCTACTGCTCACAACAGAGGAAACTGGGGTCAGGGAGGATTTGATGGAGTCTTTTCATTTTTTAAAAGTCACTCACGGCCAAGCGCGATGGCTCACGCCTGTAACCCCAGCACTTTGGGAGGCCGAGGCGGGCAGATCACCTGAGGTCAGGAGTTCTCGACCAGCCTGGCTAACACGGTGAATCCCCATCTCTACTAAAAATACAAAAATTAGCCGGATATGGTGGCAGGTGCCTATAATCCCAGCTACTCGGGAGGCTGAGGCAGGGAGAATCGCCTCGACCTCTCGGGTTCAAACAATTCTCCCGCCTCAGCCTCCTAAATAGCTGGGATTACAGTCGCACGCCACCACAGGCCGGCTAATTTTTTATTTATTTATTTATTTTGTATTTTTAGTAGAGACAAGGTTTCACCATATTGGTCAGGCTGGTCTTGAACTCCCAACCTCAGGTGATACACCCGTCTCGGCCTCCCAAAGCGCTGGGATTACAGGCGTGAGCCACCGTGCCTGGCCCTTATACTTGTCTTCTTGAGTGCATGTGTGAGGCTTTCTCTAGAAGTAGAGCTCTGGATTATAGGTATAAACATCTTCAACTTTCTCAGGAATTGTTGTAAGCAATTGCTCTAAGCAAATTGCTCTCCAAAGGGCTTATAGTAATTTACACTCCCAACAGCAGTTATGAGCATTTCCATTTTTCTACATCCTCCTATGACTTGGTGTTGGGCCTTTTATATTTTGCCAGCTGATGCAAGTAAAATTATATCTTATTGCTGTTTGAGTCTGACCATCCTTCCCATTAGGAAATGTTTTGCTGAAGCCTTTAGTTGCCGACTGGTTGGGCAGACACTTCTGTTTACTTATCACATCTGTTTTCCTCTTTCTCAGTAAGAGATTCCTTAAATTTCAATTGGGCTTATGGCTATTTAAAATAAAGATTACCTTTCCCTGCCTCTCTTACAGCCACGCGTAGCCACATGATTAGGGTCTTGCCAGTGGCACATGAGCAGAAGTGGTACATGCACTTTCAGAAAGGTGTCAAGCATGCTCTCCTTCCCTTTTCTGTTTTCTCCTGGGCGGAATACAGATCTGATGGCTGCCTCTGAAGCAGCCTTCTTGGACCATGAAGTGAACATGGGAACAGAGGCCATCCACAGCAGAGGAACAAGTTAAAGGAAGCATGGGTCCCTGCCCCATGGAGTATAGCGTCATCCCTGGACTGCCCACGCAGACTTATACATGATGGGAAAATGTCTCTTTTTGTTTGTTTAGGACACTGTTTCTCTGAATTTTCTCTCACTTGCCAGCAATTCTAATCCTAAAAATACACTGATGAATTCATTCTTCTGTATAAGACTAAGTGAATCATCTCAGAAGAGTATGGGGAGGACAACTGGAAAAAGGAAGAAGAGGTGCCTCAGGAGGACGGTGAGAGGAATGGCTTTGAAGATGCTGCTACAAAGAGCCTCTAGGAGGCAGCCCAGCCAGTTTCCCAGCCCCAGACTGTATGTTAAGTTTGGGGACAATTCCTGCCCAAAAAAGAGGTGTAGGCTAGAAGGAGCCATGTTGGAGAGGTTTTTCAGAGAACTGTCTGAAGGCCACACTGGCGTATGTCTCCTCTAATGCACCGTAGGATTGGCTCTCACTGGGTCCCAGTGCAGGGGCATGGCCCTGAGTGCCATCGGGGGACTCCAGAGGAAGCCCCTCACCCACCACGGCTGCGGAGCTGTCCTTGGGTCTGTTGTGAGACATGAAGACCTAGAAGCAGTGGAAAGTTTTGGTTTCGTCTAAGGAACGAATATGTTCATCCTTTTTTTTTTTTTTTTGAGACGGACTCTCGCTGTGTCCCCCAGGCTGGAGAGCAATGGCATGATCTCGGCTCACTGCAACCTCCGCCTCCTGGCTTCAAGTGACTCTCCTGCCTCAGCCTCTCAAGTAGCTGGGATTACAGGCACCCGCCACGATGCCTGGCTAACTTCTGTATTTTTAGTAGAGATGGGTTTCACCATGTTGGTCAGGCTGGTCCCGAACTCCTGACCTCAGGAGATCCACCCACCTCGGCCTCCAAAAGTGCTGGGATTACAGGCGTGAGCCACTGTGCCTGGCCATATGTTCATTCTTAGATATTGAGAAATATGTAACCAAGTGTGTCTGCACTTTCGTGCTTTGGCAGCTCCAAATCATCTGGGGATTCAGTGTGCAGCAAGTGGATTGGACTTTATGTCCTGCTTCTCTGCTCTCAACCTCAAACCTGCCTTGCCCCTGTGCTGACTGTCCCTTTCTAACTTATAATTTCCCTTGCCTTCTAAGTTGCCTCTAATATTTGATAGCAGGAAAGAGAGAGAATAATACACCTTTTGTAGATATCATTGGAATTTACACATCCAAATCAGAGTATCTACTTCCCCAAAGCGATCCCCGTAAGGGACCACTTTTATCACCTCATGGTGCCCATCATCCTAGGGAGGCCTAGGAACCCTTTGTCTATGGGAATAACTTTTTTGTTTTGGAGGAGGAGAGTGGAGTATAGTTCATTTATTTGATAAATATGTCTAGAGATGGAGCATTACCCAGTTCCAGGAAGCATGATTCAGTGTCTTCCATGAAAATGGTATCCTGGCTGGGTGCGGTGGCTCATGCATATAATCCCAGCACTTTGGGAAGCCAAAGTGGATGGATCACTTGAGGCCAGGAGTTCGAGACCAGCCTGGCTAACATGGTGAAACCCCATCTCTACTAAAAGTACAATAATTAGCCTGGTGTGGTGGCACATGTCCATAATCCCAGCTACTCGGGAGGCTGAGGCACAAGAATCCCTTGAACCTGGGAGACAGAGGTTGCAGTTAGCCAAGATTGTGCTACTGCACTCGAGAGAAAGAGAGAAAGAGACAGAGAGAGAAAGAAAGAAGAAAGGAAGGAAGGAAGGAAGGGAAGGAAAGAGAGAACGAGGGAAGGAAGGAAGAAAGGAAGGAAAAGAGAGAAAGGAAAAAGGAAGAGAAAGAAAAAAGGAAGGAAAGGAAGGAAAGAAAGAAAAAAGAAGGAAGGGAGGGAGACAGAGAAAGAAAGAAAGAAAAAGAAAGAAGAGAAGGGAGGGAGAGAGAGAGAGAAAAAGAAGGAAAAGAAAGAAAAAAAGGGAGGGAGGGATAGAGAGAGAAAGAAAGAAAAAGAAAGAAAAAAAGAAAGAAAAAAGGAAGAAGGAGGGAAGGAAGAAAGACAAAGAGAAAAAGAGAGGGAAGGAAGGGAGGGAGGGTGGGTCCTGTGGAATCGTGCTCTAGAGATTCACAGTCCATAGCATCGGGTGTGAATGGTGCCTGTGGAGTTGTGCAATGCGGCAGTGCTATGCTGCAGAGACCCTACTGGGAGCCAGGCCCAGGGCTGAGTGCCGGAGATACCAAAGTGAAAACATAAGGTTTTCATTTTCTGTGAGTTCAGTCTTTGGGGAAAAACTGAACTAAACAATCATTATAAAACAAAGAAGTGCGTGCAATACTAACCTGTTCATCAGCAGCAGTAAGGAAATGATGGATTCCGGACGCAGGGATAAAGTTCCCAAAGGTTTCAATGATGAGGAAGGTTGAGGGTGGGTGGGAAGCCATTAGAACCTGTCCGTGGATCAAGAAACAGGATTTGGGCAGTGTATTTGATTCCTGTGGCTGCTGTAATAAATTTCTACAAATTTGGTGGCTTAAAATAGCACCCACTTAGGCTGGGTGAGGTGGCTCATACCTGTAATCCCAGCACTTTGGGATGCCAAGGTGGGTGGATTTCTTGAGCTCAGGAGTTTGAGACCAGCCTGGGCAATATAGTGAGCCCTCACCTCTGCAAAAAAAACAAAACAAAAAAATTAGCTGGGTGTGGTGGCACGCGCCTGTAGTCCCAGCTACTTGGGAGGCTAAGGTGAAAGGATTGCTTGAGCCTGGGAGGTTAAGGCCGCAGTGAGCCAAGATCATGCCACTGCACTCCAGCCTGGGCAACAAAGCAAGACCCTATCTCTAAATAAATAAATAAATAAATAAACACTCATTCTTTTACGGTTCTGGAAGTCAGAAGTCCAAAATCAGTTTCACTGGGCTGAAATCAAGGTGTGGGCAGGTTGGTGCTCCCTCTCAAGGCTCTAGGGAGAATCCATCTCTTGCCCCTTTCAGCCTCTGGTGGCTGCTGGTATTCATTGGCTTGTGGTCCCATCACTCCAGTCATCAAAGCTGGCAGCTTCAAAGCTCTCTCTGCTCCATCTTCACATTGCCTTCTTCTCTGTGTATAGTGAAATCTCCCTCTGGCTGTCTCTTGTAAGAATACAGGACTGCATGCAAGGCCCACTGGAATAATTCCCAATAATCGCCCCTATCTCAAAATTCTTAATCACATCTGCACATCTGCAAAGACCCACCACCACCACCTTGTATTGGTTGTTGTTCTATAAGTTAACATTCACAGGCTCCAGGGGCTGGGATATAGATATCTTTTAAGGGTAATTATTCAGCCTACCGCAGGCAGATAGAGCAGGGAAAGGACATTCCAAACAGGAAACCCAGCAAAGAGCAGGCAAAGAAGCAAGACAGAGCTTCAGGATGTTCAGGAACTGGAAGGAGTCTGAGGTGGGCTGGACTGGCCGGGGCACAGGACCTCTGGCAAGGGCTGGATCAGAGGGAGAGAGCCTGAGCAGTGTGTGCCAGTAACGGGCCGTGCCTAGGCTGGAGGAGCCAGTGGTTTGCATTTTGAAAAGATCCTCTGGCCACTGTGCGAAGGGCAGGCTGCAGGGAGGGAGACTGTGGGCTGGGACACCCTATGCAGGGGCCGTGAAGGTACAATGTGGGGAGCCAGGATTGAATAATATGGAGGAGGTGGGATGCGATGAGGCTTGGAGAAGGATGAAGGAGAGGAACAGTGCAATGTGGAAAATCCTTGGTGAGGGTCCATTTCCACCTGGTTTACGTAAACAGCTAGCGTCAGAGGGGCCGAATCAGTGTGTAAAGTGGCTGCCTAGGCTGGGGCAGCACTGGGTGCTGAAGTCCTTTGGTAGATCACCCCGGGGCTCGTGACTCAGTTCTAGGCTGCCTCAAGGATGAGCCTTTGTTGCCTTTGTTGGAAGCTTGGACAGGAAGCTCTCCAGCAGGGAGGAGTGCCAACACCAGCCACACCCTCCCAGGTGCAGCTAGGCCCAGTCACCCTGAGCAATTTCCTGGAGTGAGGCCACTCGCCACTGGCTCACACTAGCCCCTGCCCTGCAGGGCATCATCAAGGATCTGGAGTCTGAGCAGCACCAGGCTCTCTGTGACTCAGCCCCTGTGGGGAAGGGGAGCCCGTGCTGGTGCTCTTCGGGCTGGAGCAGGGAAGTAGCTCCCCCTGTCCCACCTCACCTGCTTTGCTAGGGACAGACTTTTTTTTTTTTTTTTTTTTGAGACAGAGTCTTGCTCTGTCACCCAGACTGGAGTGCAGTGGCACAATCTCGGCTCACTGCAACCTCCACTGCCCGGGTTCAAGTGATTCTCCTGCCTCAGCCTCCTGGGTAACTGGTATTACGGGTGCCTGCCACCACACACGGATAATTTTTGTATTTTTAGTAGAGATGGGGTTTCACCATGTTGGCCAGGCTGCTCTTGGACTCCTGAGCTCAGGTCATCCACCCGCCTTGGCTGCCCAGGGACAGACTCTACAAAGCCCTGCTAATTGCTGCATGCAATATGCTGTTTGTGAGGGGAGGGGCGGGGGGGGGGGAGCTGGGAGGAGTTGTTGTTGTTTTGATTTTTTTTGAGACAAGGTCTCACTCTGTCACCCATGCTGGGGTAGTGCAGTGACGTACATAATCACAGCTCACTGCAACCTCTGCCTCCTGGGCTCAGGTGATCTTCCCCACCCAGCCTCCACAGGCACATACCACCATGCCTGGCTAATTTGTGTATTTTTTGTAGAGATGGGGTTTTGCCATGTTGCCCAGCCGGTTCTTCTACACATTCTTTGAGCTACTTTAGCTGTGTGACTTCAGGCAAGCAGTAACCTCTTTGCTCTTTAATTTGTTCCTCTGTGAATTGGAGAAATACTAGTACCTACCTCAAAGAGTCAAAAGCATTGAATGAGCTAAGCCCTCCATAGGGCCTGGCACACACGTGTAAGTGCCCCCTGCATGCTAGTGATGCCGTGGATACCCACAGTGGGATTCACTGGGAGAGGCAGATAGACTCATTTTAGGCAAGTTCCTAAGCATTCTGACATAATACATATAAAACACTTAGCACTTTACCTGGCACAAGGTAGGACCCTAGAAATCATAGAGAAGTTGGAGATTCTAAAGCCCGCAGGGGAGAATCTGGGCTGGGCTCTGAAGAGATTCCTGAGCTCACCGCAGCCAGGATGTATAAGTCATAGTGTTATGTCAGCGCTCATACCTGTGTGTAGCACATGTGCACGCACCTTCACGCACACAGGTGTGCCTCACCTCCAGCCCCAGGATGCATATGCAAATTCATGTAACAGATGAGTAACTGAGTTCACTCAACAGGTGAGAAAGTGACTTTGCATTCCCTAGGAATGGGACAGAGGTTGCAAAGGGACAGCCCCTAGGGCTGCATTTGGCCTGTAGAAGTGTTTTGCCTTTAAACTATTTTATTTTGTTTTCTTTTTTTTGTTTTTGTTTTCCCCTTATGCTATTTTTTTTTTTTTTTTGAGATTGAGTTTCGCTCTGTCACCCAGGCTGGAGTGCAGTGGCACAATCTCGGCTCACTGCAACCTCTGCCTCCTGGGTTCAAGTGATTCTCCCGCCTCAGCCTTCCGAGTAGCTGGGACTACAGGTATCCGCCATCACACCCAGCTAATTTTTGTATTTTTGTAGAGATGGGGTTTTACCATGTTGGCCAGGCTGGTCTTGAACTCCTAACCTCAGGTGATCTGCCTGCCTTGGCCTCCTAAAGTGCTGGCACCCAGCCTACACCATTTTAAAAAGGAGATTTCCATCGGAGAATTGCATGTAAGAATCAAGATTTCTGACTTTTCGGCCAGGTGTGGTGGCTCACGCCTGTAATCCCAGCACTTTGGGAGGTCGAGGCAGGTGGATCGCCTAAGGTCAAAAGTTTGACACCAGCCTAGCCAACATGGTGAAACCCCGTCCCTACTAAAAATACAAAAATTAGCCGGGTGTGGTGGCAGGAGCTTGTAATCCCAGCTACCCGAGAGGCTGAGGCAGGAGAACCACCTGAACCCGGGAGGCAGAGGTTGCAGTGAGCCGAGATCGCACCACTGCACTCCAGCCTGGGCGACAAGAGCGAAACTCTGTCTCAAAAAAAAAAAAAAAAAAAAAAATTCCGACTTTTCTAGCTGAATTGGAAGAGCTAATATGCTGGACCCACATCCAGTCAAAGCAAAGACCAGCGGAAGCCACAGTCACAGAGTGTGTCTTTCTAGCTGGTCCACTACCTGCTGGGCCCTGCAGGGATCTGAGTTCCAGAGCCCTAGCACGGCGGTTGAATGTGTTCACTCTAACATCAAACCGTCTGGATTTGAACTCTGGCCCTGCCACCCTGGACAAGTCATACAACCTCTCTAAGCCTCCCTCCCTCTCTCTCTCTCCTTCTTTCTTTTTTTTTTTGTCAGAGTTTTGCTGTTGTTGCCCAGGCTGGAGTGCAGCGGTGCAATCTCGGCTTACTGCAACCTCCACCTCCTGGGTTCAAGCGATTCTCCTGCCTCAGCCTCCCGAGTAGCTGGAATTACAGGCATCCGCCACCATGGCTGGCTAATTTTTGTGTTTTAGTAGAGATGGGGTTTCCCCATGTTGGCCAAGCTGGTCTTGACCTCCTGACCTCAGGCAATTCGCTCGCCTCGGCCTCCCAAAGTGCTGGGATTACAGGTGTGAGCCACTGCGCCCGGTCTGAAATATTTTAATAATTCAAATTTATGTTACAGTCAAAATGAGTGGAAAAAAGGGGGCATGTAATGTTAAAAAGAAAATGTAATTTTTTCCTTTCTTAAAAAAAAAAAAACTAAGGTATATTTTACACACAGTAAAATTTGCCCTTATTGTTATACAGTCTGTTTTCAAATGCATGCAATTGTATAACCACCACTGCAGTTAGGATCTGGAACAGTTTACTCATCCCCAAAACTTCCCTGCACCCTTTGTAGTCAACTCCTTCCCCACCCCTGGCTCCTGGCAGCCACTCATCGGTTTTCTGTAAGTGTTGCCTTTTCCAGATGTCCTATGAGTGGAATTGTATAGTAGGAAGCCTTTTGAGTCTAGCTTCTTTCATTTAGGAGACTGCATCTGAGCTCCATCCAAGCTGTGTGCATCAGGAGTGTGTTCCTTTTCATTGCTGAGTGGTGTTCCGTGGTGTGGAAATGATGACTTTCCCATCAGCATAAACCCATGCTCTAGGAGCGCCCATCTCCTGAAAACAAAAATCAAAACAAAAACACAATGGAGGCCGGGTGCGGTGGCTCATGCCTGTAATCCCAGCACTTTGGGAGGCCGAGGTGGGTGGATCACTTGAGGTCAGGAGTTCAAGACCAGCCTGACCAGCATGGTGAAACCTTGTCTCTACTAAAAATACAAAAATAGCCAGGCATCTTGGCGGGCACCTGAAATCCCAGCTACTTGGGAGGCTAAGGCATGAGAATCACTTGAACCCGGGAGGCGGAGGTTGCAGTGAGCTGAGATTGCACCACTGCACTCCAGCCTGGGTGACACAGAGAGACCCTGTCGCAAAAAAAAAAAAAAAAGAAAAAAAAAATTAGCTGGGTGTGGTGGTACACGCCTGTCATCCCAGCTACTCAGAAGGCTGAGGCAGGAGAATAGCTTGAACCTAGGAAGCGGAGGTTGCAGTGAGCTGAGATCATGCCACTGCACTCCAGCCTAGGCAATGGAGCGAGACTCCATCTCAAAAAAAGAAAAAAAAAGGAAAAAAAAGAAATGTCAGTATCTACAGATAAGACTCAATCTTGTTAGTGGCTGCTTGGGATTCTCTGGTTTGGCTATATCTTGATTTATTTAACCATTCCCCTTCTGATGGGTGCCATTTTTAAAGGCTTTGCTGTCACAAACAATACTGTTGAATATCCTCACGTGGACATCGTCCCACAGCTGACAAACCTTTCTTAGGACAGAAGTGGCCTGGCTGCCTTGGAGGAGATTCTGAGACCACTGCTACATTGCTCTCCCCAAACGCTGTGTCTCCATGGTCCTTTGGATGCTCTTAAATTGCAGCGAGCGCCCACTCCCAGCCAGGGCCTGGGGGTGCATGCTGTCCAAGGCAGGGCCCTGCCCTGGGGCAACTGCAATCTTTGAGTCCTATGATGAGATGGTTCAAGAGCCAGGGGCCCCAGTCCTGGGTTGCAGGGAGGAGTTCAGGGAAGGCTTCCTGGAGGAGTTGACGTCCAGGCAGAAACCTGCCTGCTGAGTAGCAGTTTGTCAGGCAGGGGAGCAAGTGGGCAGGGCTGCTCAAGCTAGGGGAGGACTTGGCCAGCTGAGGCCCTGAAAGGGCCAGGGCCATCTACGCACCGCTGAGTAATGGTGTTCCCTAAATGCTCAGGGCAGTGGCTGAAGGGAGTGGCAGTGGGTGGGGATGACAGGAAGCTGGGGCAACCGGTGAAGGCCTTCACTGCCAAGCTAAGGAGTGGGAATGTTGCCCAGGGCAAGCGAGAGCCTGATTACACACCTGAGGAAGTGAGCCATAGGCTGGAGGGGAGAAAGGACCAGTGCCCTGGGATGGAGGCTGGGTGGGAATTCACACCTGGCAAGAGCCCACCAGGAGCCAGGCCCTGTGTAAGGAGAAGCCCCCTCTTCCTTTCTTCCTTTCTTCTTTCCTTCTTTCCTTCTTTCCTCTCTCCCTCCCTTCCTTCCCACCCTCCTTCCTTCCTTCCCTTCCTTCCTTCCCACCCTTCTTCCCTCCCTCCCTCCCTTCCTCCCTTCCTTCCTTACTTCTTCCTTCCTTCCCTCCTTCCTTCCTAAATTAATAGACCTTTTTTTAAAGAGCAATTTTGGGTTTACAGAAAAATTGAGTCATAAGTACAGGGAGTTCTCATTGACCTCTCCGCACCCTGCCACACACGGTTTCTCCTATGGTTAACCTGTTGCATTGGTGTGATACATCTGTTACAACTGACAAACCAGTACTGACATGCTCTCATTCGCTAAGGTCCCTCGTTCACATCAGACTACACTCTTGATGGTGTACACTCTGTGGGTTTTGACGAATGCATAATGACATGTCTCCACCATTACAGTAGCCTACAGAGCCTTTCACAGCCCAAAACATTCCTTGTGTCCTCCTACTCATTCCTCCCTCCTCCCAACCCCTTGCGACCACTGATCTTTTTACTGTCTTTGTAGTTTTGCCTTTTCCAGAGTGTCGAATAGCTGCAAGCAAACACACAGTATGCAGCCTTTTCAGATCGGC